>NC_000012.12:29833162-29985857 GCF_000001405.40 Homo sapiens
TTTAAAGTTCATATGGAACCAAAAAAGAGCCCGCATCGCCAAGTCAATCCTAAGCCAAAAGAACAAAGCTGGAGGCATCACATTACCTGACTTCAAACTATACTACAAGGCTACAGTAAGCAAAACAGCATGGTACTGGTACCAAAACAGAGATATAGATCAATGGAACAGAACAGAGCCCTCAGAAATAACGCCACATATCTACAACTATCTGATCTTTGACAACCCTGAGAAAAACAAGCAATGGGGAAAGGATTCCCTATTTAATAAATGGTGCTGGGAAAACTGGCTAGTCATATGTAGAAAGCTGAAACTGGATCCCTTCCTTACACCTTATACAAAAATCAATTCAAGTTGGATTAAAGACTTAAACATTAGACCTAAAACCATAAAAACCCTAGAAGAAAACCTAGGCATTACCATTCAGGACATAGGCATGGGCAAGGACTTCAGGTCTAAAACACCAAAAGCAATGGCAACAAAAGCCAAAATTGACAAATGGGATCTAATTAAACTAAGGAGCTTCTGCACAGCAAAAGAAACTACCATCAGAGTGAACAGGCAACCTACAAAATGGGAGAACATTTTCGCAACCTACTCATCTGACAAAGGGCTAATATCCAGAATCTACAATGAACTCAAACAAATTTACAAGAAAAAAACAACCCCATCAAAAAGTGGGCAAAGGACATGAACAGACACTTCTCAAAAGAAGACATTTATGCAGCCAAAAAACACATGAAAAAATGCTCATCATCACTGGCCATCAGAGAAATGCAAATCAAAACCACAATGAGATACCATCTCACATCAGTTAGAATGGCGATCATTAAAAAGTCAGGAAACAACAGGTGCTGGAGAGGATGTGGAGAAATAGGAACACTTTTACACTGTTGGTGGGACTGTAATCTAGTTCAACCATTGTGGAAGTCAGTGTGGCGATTCCTCAGAGATCTAGAACTGGAAATACCATTTGACCCAGCCATCCCATTACTGGGTATATACCCAAAGGACTATAAATCATGCTGCTATAAAGACACACGCCCACGTATGTTTATTGCAGCATTATTCACAATAGCAAAGACTTGGAACCAACCCAAATGTCCAACAATGATAGACTGGATTAAGAAAATGTGGCACATATACACCATGGAATACTATGCAGCCATAAAAAATGATGAATTCATGTCCTTTTTAGGGACATGGATGAAATCGGAAATCATAATTCTCAGTAAACTATCGCAAGAACAAAAAACCAAACACCGCATATTCTCACTCATAGGTGGGGATTGAACAATGAGATCACATGGACACAGGAAGGGGAATATCACACTCTGGGGACTGTTGTGGGGTGGGGGGAGGGGGGAGGGATAGCATTGGGAGATATACCTAATGCTAGATGACGAGTTAGTGGGTGCAGCACACCAGCATGGCACATGTATACATGTGTAACTAACCTGCACAATGTGCACATGTACACTAAAACTTAAAGTATAATAAAAAAAAAGAACATATCTCATTGTAGTTTTGATTTGCATTTCTCTGATGATCAGTGATGTTGAGCACCTTTTTATATACCTGTTTGCCATTCATATGTCTTCTTTTGGGAAATGTGTATTCAGATCTTTTGCCTAGTTTTGATTGGATTATTAGATTTTTTCCTGTAGCATTGTATAAGCTCCTCATATATTCTGTTTACTAATCCCTTGCCAGATGGGTAGTCTGCAAATACTTCCTTCTATTCTGTATGTTGTCTCTTCACTTTGTTGATTGTTTCTTTTGCTGTGCAGAAGGTTTTTGACTTGATGTGATCCCATTTTTCCATTTTTGCTTTGGTTGACTCTGCTTGTGGGATATTACTCAAGAAATCTTTGCCCAGATCAATGTACTGGAGAGTTTCCCCTAATGTTTTATTTTAGTAGTTTCATAGATTCATGTCTTTAATTCATCTTGATTTGGTTTCTTACAAACGGTGAGAGGTAGAGGTCTAGTTTCATTCTTCTGCATAGTGATATCCACTTTTCCCTGCATCATTTATTGAAGAGACTGTCCTTTCTCCAAGTGTGTTCTTAACACCTTTGTCAAAAATGAGTTCACGGTAAATGTATAGATTTATCTCTGTGTTCTCTAGTCCACTGATCTATGTGTCTGTTTTTATGCTAGTGTCATGCCATTTTGGTTACTGTAGCACTGTAGTGTAAATTTAAGTCAGGTAATGCGACTCCTTCAGTTTTGTTCCTTTTGCTTTGGATAACTTTGGCTATTCTGGGCCTTTTGTGGTCCCATATAGATTTTAGAATTGTTTTTTATGTTTCTGTGAAGAATGGCATTAGTATTTTGATAGGGATTGTATTGAATCTGTAGATTGCTTTGGGTAGTATAACATTTTAACAATATTAATTCTTCCAATCCATGAACATGGAACATCTTTCCATTTTTTGTGTCTTCCTCAATTTCTTGCATCAATGTTTTATAGTTTTCATTGTAGAGGTCTTTCATTTTTTTTGGTTACCTTAATTACTAGGTATTTCTCATTTTATTTGTAGCTATTATAAATGGGATTACTTTCTTGATTTCTTCCTCGGATGGTTCACTGTTGGCATATAAAAATGGTACTGATTTTTGTATGGTGATTTGATATCCTGCAACTGTAATGAATTGTTATCCGTTCTAAAAGTTTTCTGGTATTTAGGTTTGTCCAAATGTAAGATTATATTATCTGCCAAAAAGGCTAATTTGACTTTGTCCTTTCCAATTTGGATGCCCTTTATTTCTTTCTCTTGCTTGATTGCACTATGTTGAATAACAGTGGTGAAGATGGGCAATCTTGTTGTGTTCTTGATCTTAGAGAAAAGACTTTCAGTTTTTTCCCATTCAGTATGATACTATGTGTCTGTTGTATATGCCTTTTATTATATTGAGGTATGTTCCTTCTATACGCAATTGGTTAAGGGCTTTTATCATGAAGGGATGATGAAGTTTATCAAAAGCTATTTCAGCCTCAATTGAAATGATCATATGGTTTTTGTCCTCCATTCTGTTTATTTGATGTATCCCATCAATTGATTTTAATATGTTGAACCATTCTTGCTTCCCTGGGATAAATCTCACTTGGTCATGATGAATGATCTTTTTAATGTGTTGTTAAATTCAGTTTGCTAGTATTTTGTTGAGGATTTTTGTATCAACATTAATCAGTGGTTGGCCTATGTATTTTTTTAATTGATGTATAGATTTTGTCTGGTTTTGGTATCAGGGTAATACTGGCCTCGTAGAATGAGTTTTGAAGTAGTCTCTCCTCCTCTATTTTTTGCAATAGTTTGAATAGAATTGGTACTAGCTCCTTTTTAAGTGTTTGGTAGAATTCAGCATGAAGCCATCAGGTCCTGGGCTTTTCTTTGCTGGGAGATGTTTTATTACAGCTTCAATCTCCTTGCTTGTTATTGGTCTGTTTAGGTTTTGGATTTCTTTGTGGTTCAATCCTGGTAGGTTACATGTGTCTGGGGATTTATCCATTTCTTCTTGATTTTCCAATTTATTGGCATATAGTTGCTCATAGCAGCTGCTAATAATCCTTTGAATGTCTGTGGTTTTGGTTGTAATGTCTCCTTTTTCATCTCTGATTTTATATATTTGGGTCTTCTCCTTTTTTTTCTCCATTAGTCTTGCTATAGTTTTGTCAATTTTGTTTATCTTTTTAAAAGACCAACTTTTGACCAGGCGTGGTGGCTCACACCTGTAATCCCAGCACTTTGGGAGACAAGGCAGGTGGATCACGAGGTCAGGAGATTGAGACCATCCTGGCTAACACGGTGAAACCCTGTCTCTACTAAAAATACAAAAAATTAGCCAGGCATGGTGGCGGGCACCTGTAGTCCCAGCTACTGGGGAGGCTGAGGCAGGAGAATGGCATGAACCTAGGGGGCGGAGCTTGCAGTGAGCAGAGATCCCGCCACTGCACTCCAGCCTGGAGGACAGAGTGAGACTCGGTCTCAGAAAAAAAACAAAACAAAAAAAAAAAAACACCAACTTTTTGTTTTGTTGATTTTTTAAGTGGTTTACTTTATTTGAAATTTATTTCTCCTATGATTTTTATTTTTTCTTTTCTTCTAATAATTTTGCATTTGTTTTACTCTTGCTTTCCTAGTTGTTTAAAATACATTGTTAGGTTGCTTAGTTGAAGTATTTTTTCTTTTTTGATGTAGGCACTTATACCTATAAATTTACCTCTTATTACTGCTTTCACTGTATCCCACAGGATTTAGTATGTTGTATTTCAATTTTCAATTGTTTCAAAATTTTTTTTCTATTTCCTTCTTAACTTCTTCATTGACCTACAGCTCATTTAGGAGCATATTGTCTAATGTTTGTGTGTTTGCACAGTTTCCAAAATTCCTCTTATTATTGATTTCAAGTTTTATTACACTGTAGTCAGAGAAGACATTTGATATTATTTCATTTTTTGAACGTTTTAATACTTGTTTTGTGACTTGTTTTGTGGGTCTATCCTTGAGAATGATCCATGTGCTAAGGGAAAGAATGTGTATTCTGCTGCCTTTGGATGAACTATTCTGTAAATATTTATTAGGTCCATTAATCTATAGTGCAGATTATGTCCCATACTTCTTTGTTGATTTTCTGTCTGGAAGATCTGTTCAATGCTAAAAGTGGGGTGTTGAAGTCTTCAGCTATTATTTTAATGGGGTCTCTCTCCCTCTTTCTTTAGCTCTAAAAATATTTGCTATATATATATGTATCTGAGTGATCCAGTGTGGGGTACATATGTATTTACAATTATTATACCCTCTTCCTGAATGGACCACTTTATAATTAAATAGTGACCTTCTTTGTCTTGTCTTACAGCTTTTGTCTTGAAAGCTATTTTGTCTGATATAAGTATAGCTACTTCTGCTCTTTTTTGGTTTCCGCTGGCATAGAATATCTTTTTCCATCCCTTTATTTTCAGTCTGTGTTTGTCTTTATAGGTAAAGTGTGTTTCTTATAGGCAATTGATCATTGTTTTTTAATCTATTCAGCCACTCTATATCTTTTGATTGGAGAGTTTAGTCCAATCAAACTCTCCAATCAAATTGGAGACTTTAGTCCAATTAGTTTTGCCATCTTGTTATTTGTTTTCTGGTTGTTTTGTGATCTGCTCTTTTCTTCTTTCCTCCCTTCCTGTCTTCCTTTTAGTGGAGGTGTTTTTTCTCTGGTGGTGTGATTTAATTTCTTGCGTTTTATCTTTTGTGTATCTGTTGTGATTTGAGGTTACCATGAGGCTTGCAAATACAATCATATAACCCATTATTTTAAGTTGATAACAAGTTAACACTGTTTGCATAAACAAACAACAAGCAAAAAGAAAACTAATACAAACTCTATGCCATAACTTCATCCCCCTGCTTTTTACCTTTTTGTTGTTTCTATTTATATCTTATTTTATTGTCTAAGTCTTAAAAAGTCATTGCATTTATTGTTTTTGATTGGTGCATCTTTCTACTTTCAGTCTTTCTACTGAAGAGTAGTTAACAAACCACAACTACAGTATTATAATATTCTTTGATTTTCTGTGTACTTACCGTTACCAGAGAGTTTTCTATCTTCAGGTGATTTATTACTGCCGATTAACAGTTTTTTCTTTCTGATTGAAGAACTCCCTTTAGCATTCCTTGTAGGAAAGGTCTAGTATTGATCAAAATCCCTCAGTTTTAGTTTTTCTGGGAAAGTCTTTATTTCTGCTTCATATCTGAAGATATTTTCCTTCAGCACTGTAAATATGTCAAGCCATTCTATCCTGGCCTATAAGGTTTCCACTGAAAAATCTGCTACCAGACTTATTGGAGTTCCATTGTATATTATTTGTTTCTTTTTATCTTGATGCCTTTATGATCCTTTCTTTATCCTTGATCTTTGGGAGTTTGTTTTTTAAATGTCTTGAGGCAGTATTCTTTGGGTTAAATCTGTTTGGTGTTCTATAACCTTCTTGTACTTGAATATTGATATCTTTCTCTAGGTTTGGGAAGCTCTTATTATCCCTTTGAATAAGCCTTCTACCCCTATCTCTTTCTCTACCTGCTCTGTAAGGCCAATAACTCTTATATTTGCCCATTTAAAGCTATTTTCTAGATCCTGTAGGTATGCTTCATTGTTTTCTATTCTTTTTTCTTTTGTCTCCTCTATGTTTTTTCAAATAGCCTGCCTTCAAGCTCATTAATTCTTTCTTCTGCTTGATCAATTCTGCTATTAAAAGACTCTGATGCATTCTTCAGTATGTCGTTTGCATTTTTAACTCCAGAATTCCTGCTTGATTATTTTAAATTATTTCAATCTCTTTGTTGAATTTATCTGAACAATATTCTGAATTCCTTCTCTATGTTATCTTGGATTTCACTGAGTTTTCTCAAAACAGGTATTCTGAATTCCCTGTCTGAATGGTCACATATCATTGTTTCTCCAAGATTGGTCTCTAGTGACTTATTTAGTTCATTTGGTGAGGTCATGTTTTTCTGGATGGTCTTGATGTTTGTGGATGTTTGTCTGTGTCCAGGCATTGAAGAGTTAGGTATTTATTGCAGTCTTCTCAGTCTGGCCTTCTTCGTATTCTTCCTTTTTTGGGAAGGCTTTCCAAGTATTCAAAAGGACTTGGGTGTTTTAATAAAAGCTGTATCTGCATTAGGGGCCACCCCAAGCCCAACAATGTTGTACTTTTTGGAGTCTTTTAGAGGTACCACATTGATTATTTTGGAAAAGATCCAGAAGAATCTTTGGATTACCAGGCAGAGACTTTGTTCTCTTCCCTTACTTTCTCCCAGATGAATGGAGTCTCTGTCTCTGTGGTGAGCTGCCTAGAACTATGGATGTTGTAATCCAAGCACTCTTTTGACCACTACCACTGGGAATGTGCTGGGTCAGACCTAAAGCCAGCACAGCACTGGGTCTTCCCAGTGCCCACTGTAACTATCACTTGGACACTGCCAATGTTCACTCAAGGCCCCAGGGCTCTACAATCAGCAGGTGATGAAGCCAGCCAGGGTTGTGTTCTCCCCTTCATGACATTAAGTTTCCCTAGGGCCCAGGAGGCTCCAGAAGTGCTGTCCAGGAGCCAGGGACTGGAGTTAAAAACCCTTAGATGCCTACCTGGTGTTTTCTTTTACTGAGACTGAGCTGACACTCAAATCATGAGACGCAGTCCTTCCCACTCTTCCCTCCCCTTTCCACAGGCAGAGGAGCCTCTCCCCTTGGTCACCATCACCACAGGCCCATGGGGAGTACAGCCAGGCTACCATCAGTGTACGTGTAAGGCCCAAGATCTCTTTAGTTAGCTTGTGATGAATGCTTCCAGGCCTATGACACCCTTCAAGGCAGTGGGCTTACCTCTAACTCAGGGCAGGTCCAGAAATGCTGTCTAAGAACCAAGGCCTGGAACCATAGCCCCCAAGAGCCCACTTGGTGCTCTACTCTCATGTGGCTGAGCTAGTACCTAAGGAACAAGACAAAGTCCCCTTCACTTTTCCCTTCCCCTTTTTCAAGTAGAAAGAGTCTCTTCTCATAGCCACCACAACTGGGAATGTGGTGGGTCACACCTAAAACCACCATGCCTCAGAGTCTCACCCAAGGCCTACAGCATACTACCTGGGTGTTGCTGCTGGTTATTCAGGGTCCAAGGGCTGTTTAGTCTTTTCCCTTCTGGCCCAGAGTGTGTCTAGAAATGTTGTCCAGGAGCTAGGACCTGGAAAGGGGACCTCACAACTCTGACTGATGCCCTATTGTACTGTGGCTGAGCAGGTATCCAATATTCAAGACAAAGTTCTCTTTACTTTTCCCTCTCCTCTCCTCAAGCAGAAGGACGGGGTCTCTTTTGGAGCCATAAGCTGTGCAGCCTGAGGATGGGGGAACGGTGGTGCAAGCACTCCCATAGGCACCCCAAGGATGTCTTAGTACATCATGTGCCCCCTAAGTCCACTGGCTCTAAGCTCAGTTCAGCCCTAGGCCTCACCTAGGAATTGCAGTGTTTGTGGCCTAGACTGCCTTTCAGGTTTATTTAGGGCCTCAGAGCACTTTAGGCCATGGTGGTGAGGCTCACTGGAACTCAAGTTCTGACTACTGGGATGTGTGATACCCCTCTGGCTAGGTCGGGTTTACATACTCCCTTCGTGGACAGGCATCAGCAGAGTTCAGCCCAGTTTTGTTTCTGCCATGACAGAGCAGCACTGAGTTCAATGCAATGTCTCACAATTGCTGTGTCCTCCCTCTCTCAAGCACACAGACTCTTTCTCTGTGCCATGTAGCCACTACTGAGGAAAAGGGGAGGAGTGGTGTTACTGATTAATGACTGTCTTTCCTGGCTTCTTCAGTGCCTCTTTCAGTGATACGAAGTTAAAATCAACAACTGTGAGTGTTTATCCTATTTTTGGTTCATATAAATGTGCTTTTTAAATGTATTAATAGATAGTTGTTAAATTGGTGTCCTTGGGCCAGACACGGTGGTTCATGCCTGTAATCCCAGGACTTTGGGAGACCAAGGCGGGCAGATCACCTAAGGTCAGGAGTTCAAGACCAGTCTGGCCAACACAGTGAAACCCCATCTCTACAAAAATACTAAAATTAGCCAGGCTTGATGGTGGATACCTATAATCCCAGCTACTCAGGAGGCTAAGGCGGGAGAATCATTTGAACCTGGGAGGCGAAGGTTGCAGTGAGCTGAGATTGCACCATTGCACTCTAGCCTGGGCAGTAGAGTGAGACGCCATCTGGAAAAACAAAAAACAAAAAACAAAAACAAAAACAAAAACTAGTGTCTTGGTAGGGGGACGATTGGTGGAGCTTTCTATTTGGCCATCTTGCTCCACTCCTCTCCTCAAGCCTTTTTAAACAATGTTACAGACTCCTGAAGATTCAAATGATCATTGGCCATAAACAACCAGGACACCAGGACAATGTTACCAAGCAAGGGCTTTGAATCCAGAGCTGAATACTGACTGCCTGGCCCAGTATGTCTGAGGATGAAGGACTCCCTTTATTTCTAGCGACTCAATTTTTTTCTCTCTTAAAACTAGTTGATATTGTTGTCAGACTGCAATCTGTAGACACACTGCTCAGTAGGAAAGCTCTCAGGGGCAAACAACATTTCATTTCTGAATCATTTGGATAATAGAGACCATAAAATTTCCAGAGAAACCAAAAAAATGTTTCAGATGATTCCAAATGACAGAGGAACTTTGCTTGTTAACAAGAAGGGACACTTTCACCTAAATGGCTACCAGTATACAAACACACCCATGCAGTTATATGCCCTGAAATTTATCTTGCTAATTAGACAGCAACCTCACACTCAAGAAGCCACTCAGAAGTGGGACACTTCTCAAGTCTTTTAAATAAATTTTACTTGCAAAAATTCCTTCTGTTTCACATTTCTGAAATAGAGTTCTTTGAATGCTACTATGTCTTTGTCACATATCCATTCTTTTAATTACTTTTTCATCTCCTAGTCCGCCAGTTCTAGTATTCTTTTGATCTCCAAGGAAGATATAAAACCTCTCAAACCTATTGCATTGATACTGTTGGCTCATCCCTCATGGATTAACCAGTACTTCCTTAACACTTTACTCACCATAACAGTGCTATTGTACCCCTTCTCTTGTATGTGAATATCTACAGAAAGGAGATGTAGTTTATTCTCCTGAACCAAAAAGCAGAGAAGAAAGATTAACCAGAAAAAGCCATGGATTATGGGCCAAAGCCATTTCAACTGCTATACTTGTAGTGAAGTAGCTTTCACAGTTATTTTTTTTGAAAAGAGGAGGATTGTATTCTTTCACATTTGAAAAGAAAAAGAGAGTATGGGTGGGATGAGATTTTAATGGATATTTATGGTTTATAGTTAAAATGGATTATGTCATTCTGAGGTTCCTCATCACCTCTAAACCTGCATTGTGAGAATATTCTTTTAAACAGGATGAAAAATAAACAGTTATGTGAGCATTGCCATCTGGGTAGGCTCTGGTGATAACTTTCAAACTCCTCTTAGCATCTTTTAACAGATACTTTAAATGCATTCAGATGGTTCTGAGTAAGTGCTGTGGGAGTTAAAAGGATTTCAGCACTTCATCCTCTCTCAGTCAGCAGAATTTCCTGCTAAAGATCTCCAATTACTTTAGTACTTTGCAAACAGTGGTGAATGAAAGCACATCAGCACTACCCACAAGCAAGCTGCTTTCAGAAAACTTCCTCAGCTAGCATTGGCCTATTTGCTTGCTTTAAGCATAGTCTTATATGGTGGAGGATGGCCCTGATGGAGGTTCTTGGAGGTGTGCAGCGGAACTAGAACTGGAAAGGCTCTGGCTTCAGTCACTGACCCTAAGAGTTTAAAAGCTGGCTATGGAGATGTCACCTGAAGGGGAAAGCAGCCAATTGGCTTAATAGACAGCATTTAGAGACCTCTAAAAGCAATAGTAAGTCCAGTTTAATTCACAGAACAAACCACTGCAATTCATTGTGGGTGCCTTGATTTAAAATATCAAGGAAGTTCTGAAGAATCGAGTCATTTCATACACAGCTGGTAGGGGAGGAAATCGGAACACCTATTCTGATCAAACAAATAAAAAACTTAATTGAGCATATCACTTGACTAAACAATTTCTCTTCTGGAATTTATCCTAAGAGGATAATCAGAAAAGTATGCAAATACCTACGTACAGAAATGTTTATGGTGGGCTTGTCATTCGAAGCAATCTGAATGCTCATATTAAGTACTTTATTAAATAAACTATGGTTCATAATTACAAAGGACTATCTACCCATTAAAAATAGATTAAGTATTCACATAGAACAAAATGTTCATGATATGTTTTCAGGTGATAAAGGCAGATTATATAATTACAGGTTGAGCATTCCTAATCTAAAAATCTGAAATCCAAAATGCTTCAAACTCAGAGACTTTTTGAGCAGCGACATAATATTCCAAGTGGAAAATGGAAAATTCCACACCTAGTTACACAATACAGACTTTGTTTCATGCACAAAGTTGGTAAAACTACCATATGAAATTACCTTCAGACTATGTATACAAGGTATGTATAAGACATTAGTAAATTTGGAGTTTAACCTTGGGTCCCATCCCCAAGATATCTCATTATGCATGTGAAAATATTTCAAAATCTGAAAAACCGCCAGATTCGAAACTCTTCTTGTCCCATGCATTTCTGATAAGTGATATTTAACCTGTATATATGTAATATGGTCCATTTGTATTGAGTGAATGAATAAACAGTTGAATGCACTCTTCCTGGCTTCCTCACTCCTGTTACCAAATTCTGCATCAGTCAGGTTTAACAAGAGAAGTAGAGTCAGTAGGAGATATGTGTATATATATGAAGGGATTTATTAAAGCAGGATTTGTTTATACAATTACGGGGGCTGGTTAAGCCGTCTTGGAGGGCTACAAATCTGATGCTGGAGCATGAAGTTCTCAGTGCAGACAGGAAGAAAAGCTCACTAATAGGCTGGAACCTCGTAGGAATGGACTGAAACCTGCTCTTGGTGATGAAGGTATCCTGCAGAAGCTGGGAACTTTGTTATAGAGCTAAACATACAACCTTCAAGAAAAATTGAGGAAAGATTCAGGGGCAGGTAAAGCATCTGTAGGCCCAGTTGCTGCCCCACACCAGCAAGATGAGTCAGTGGACTAGCAACAGATGTGTCAACTACAAAACGTCTGCTGCCTCCTGCCTGCCTTCCAAAAACTTTGCAAGAGTCTCCTTTTGACCCATCCTAACTGCAAATATACAAAAAGGAGAATTATTGAAATTTTAGTTCAGACTAGCCAAGGTGACAATGCAGAACTCTCACAGAGGACAAGTTGGAATCTAGCTCAGGGTGAGAACCTCAAGGGACTGGCTACTCAATGAAACCTCAAGTTAGACAGACTTGTTCACCCAGGTCTGGACAGGCAAAAAATTTCCCCATTCTTGAGAGGTTTTCTCTCTCCCCATGGCAAGATTGAGCATTCAGAAGTTAAACTCATCTGTGATTCTTTTGAGAATGACAATACAAAACACAGTAAAACACTGTGCAATTGTTCCAAGTGCTTTACATATATTTATTCATTTGATTCTCACATCAAACTTATGGTAAAGATGAAGAAACTGAAACAGAAAGGGTTTAAATAACTGGCTATATAGCTCACAGCTGATAAAGGGGAGAGCTGGGATTTTTACTGAGCACTCTGGTTCTAAACCCATCTGCTTAGTCATTTTGCTACCACGTCTCCGAGATAGTTACATAGCTATAAATTGGTGCCTATCATAAAAACTCTGAAATATTACAAATTCCTTAAGATATAATAATGTTTACCATATTAAAGTATACTGTTTACTAAAGACAGAAAATCAGTTAATAGATTTTTTTTTTTTTTTTTGGAGTCTCGCTCTGTCACCCAGGCTGGAGTGCAATGGCGTGATCATGGCTCACTGCAATTTCGGCTTCCCAGGTTCCATGCCATTCTCCTGCCTCAGCCTCCTGACTAGCTGGGACTACAGGTGCCCGCCACCATGCCCGGCTAATTTTTTGTATTTTTAGTAGAGACGGTTTCACCGTGTTAGCCAGGATGGTCTTGATCTCCTGACCTCGTGATCCACCTGCCTCAGTCTCCCAAAGTGGTGGGATTACAGGCATGAGCCTCAGTTAATAGATTTTAAACAAAATTTTCAGAACAAAGTTGTTTTAAAGCATAATTTTCAAAATGACAAAATCATAATTTCCATACAGATACAAAATGAACATTGTCAAAGATTCTATTTAATTCTTTGATTAATGAGAAAATCCGTAAGATACTGAGACAGATTCAAATGAGAAATTGGCTTACAGATACTCATATTCTCCACTGGAGAAATTAAATCACCATGAACAGAAACCATTTGCTTTGCTATACACAAGAAATACTTGTATTCTTACCGGTTTTCTACAAGGGTAATACCATATCACTACAGATTTTATAAAATGGCCTTGTCAAAAGCAATCAAAGGTACACACCCCATAGAATCAGCTAATCCCTGGAGAGTCTGCTAGACATTTGCAATATTAATCTGATGGACAGTTGGCAATCTCTCTTGGCCATTTCCAAGGGGTTGATACCTTTCCTGACAAATGAAATGAAATTTCCTTACTGAATTAGAATGAGCCATTCATAAAGCATTCTAGTTACTCCGCACTGTATTGTAACTGTCAAATTCTCTAAGGACATTTCCCATTCTAAAATTTTATGATTCTAAGAAAATAGGGTATTCCACAACTTAGATATTATAAGAATAAGATGATAGTAATTTTACTTTCTTGTTTTCATTGCTATTCTAATTTGGGGGATATTGCAGGAATTTTTTTTTAACCGCAAAGTTTTATCAGGGGAAATTATTAAAAATAGGTGAGAAAAAAATTTAAAATTCAGTTCATGAGAATAAGAAAGATAGATGGGTCAGTGGTATAAAAACAGATATATGGATAATATTGTTAAAAATAAGGCAGTGGACTGTGATCTACAAGTGTCCCAAGCAGATACTGTAAATATATTTATTTCCTTACCGAGAGTCTCAAAAACCATGACCCCGAAGTTGCTGGGTCCTAAGCAACTGAGTCAGTGAAGTTCACCTGCCTGATTGGGATCAGTGGGAAAGTAAACATTCTGAGATTCCAATCAGGCCACTAAGGAGAAATGCTTAATTTTTTAATTCAAAAAATATTTTAAGTTTACATTTTTTCCCTTTTGTGAGGTATAATTGACAATAAAATTATATAAATTTAAAGTGTACATGATGATTTGATATACATATATATGGTAAAATGATTGTCACAATTAAGTTGGTTAACACATCCATCACCTCCCATAGCTACCTTTTTTGTGTGTGGCAAAACTATTTAAGATCTACTCTCTTAGTAAATTTCAAGTAGACAATACAACATTATTAACCATAGTCACCATACTGTACATTAGATCCCTAGAACTTATTCATCACATAACTGAAGGTTTGTACCCTTCAATAAACAGCTCCCATTTTCCCCACCTCCTTTCCCTGGGAAAACATCATTTTATTTTCAGTTTCAGTGAGTTCAACTTTTTGAATTCCACATGTACATGAAATCATACAGTATTTGTCTTACTCTCTCTGAGTTATTTTACTTAGCTTAATGCCCACGAGTTTCATCCACGTAGTTACAAATGACAGGATTTCCTTCTTTTTATGGCTGAATTATATTCCATTGTGTGTGTGTTGTGGGGGTGTGGGTGTGGATCACATTTTCTTTATCCATTAATCTGTCCTTGGACACTTACATTGTTTCCATGTCTTGTCTATTGTGGGTAATGCTTCACTGAACATGGGAGTGCAGATATGTCTTTGAGATACTGGTTTTGTTTCCTTCATATATGGAGGGATGCTTAGTTTTATGTAACAAGGACAATGGCACAGAAGAGAACACATTATGTAAAATGAAAAAAGAAAGAGTCCCAGAAGTAACAAAATTCCACTGGGATCCTTCTGAGATGACACTGATGGGTTGAGGGAACCTGCAGTGTTAAACATGTTAGAAGATGGCCTCTCCACTTGTGCAGTAAGATGCAGGCCTCTGTATTGTGATGACGCAGGTTTCACAGGGGGACTGTAAGAACAAAGGAATCAAATGAACCTGATTCTCTCGTGGAGTCACAGTAAGCAGGAAGAACCCATTTGGAAGTACTCATATCAGTACACTCAGAGGTACCCTAACTATATTACTGCTGCTTTCAGAAGTGCTCAAGGAATAGTTGAATACTGAATGTTAGAGCATTATTTCAAAAAGACTTTGAACTCCTGGGAGGATAGTCATTAGATAAAGTATTAATCATTTAATGGGCTTTAATTTCTCTCATTATATGGCAAGCAAGAATTGAAAATGTTTAGCCCATAAATCCATTTAATCTAATTTGTAACCTAAAGCACCAGATTTCCTTTCTGCATTACCAGTGTGCGTTTAGGTGCAAAGCTTCCTTCTGAGCAATGGGAAATCATAAGGAGAGGGGCTGTGCCCTCAAGTTGTTTAAATTTTGGTTGAACAAATAAAACAAACATAAACAGAAAAACATCCATAAACAGGGGTGTCAAGGCCTAGGGTGCTAGTTCTGGATCTAGCACTGATAAATTGTTTGAGCCTGAACTTCTAGCTCCCAAACTACTTAATTCTGTTTTCTAAATATGAGTTAACAAATAGTAAATTTAGCTGAAGGCATAAAAAGCAGTGTTCAGAATTGTGGCTTAAGAAAGATTCAGCTGGGGGTGGTTCCAAGATGGCCGAATAGAAACAGCTCCACTCTACGGCTCCCAGCATGAGAGATGCAGAAGGTGGGTGATTTCTGCATTTCCAACTGAGGTACCAGGTTCATCTCACTGGGGCTTGTTGGACAGTGGGTGCAGGACAGCGGGTGCAGCCCACCGAGCGTGAGCCAAAGCAGGGCGAGGCATCGCCTCCCCTGGGAAGCACAAGGGGTCAGGGAATTCCCTTTCCTAGCCAAGGGAAGCTGGACAGATGGCACCTGGAAAATTGGGTCCTCCCACCCTAATACTGTGCTTTTCCAATGGTCTTAGCAAACGGCACACCAGGAGATTATATCCTGTGCCTGGCTCAGAGGGTCCCACGCCCACAGAGCCTCGCTCATTGTTAGCACAGCAGTCTGAGATCTAACTGCAAGGTGGCAGCGAGGATGTGGGAGGGGCACCCACCATTGCTGAGTCTTGAGTAGGTAAACAAAGTGGCCGGGAAGTTTGAACCAGGTGGAGGCCACCTCAGCTCAAGGAGGCCTGACTGCCTCTGTAGACTCCACCTCTGGGGGCAGGGCATAGCCAAACAAAAGGCAGCAGAAATCTCTGCAGACTTAAATGTCCCTGTCTGACAGCTTTGAAGAGAGTGGTGGTTCTCCCAGCATGGAGTTTGAGATCTGAGAACGGACAGACTGCCTCCTCAAGTGGGTCCCCGACCCCTGAGTAGCCTAACTGGGAGGGACCCCCCAGTAGGGGCAGACTGACACCTCACACGGCCGGTACCTCTCTGAGATGAAGCTTCCCAAGGAACGATAAGGCAGCAACATTTGCTGTTCAGCAATATTCGCTGTTCTGCAGCCTCCACTGCTGATACCCAGGCAAACAGGGTCTGGACTGGACCTCCAGCAAACTCCAACAGACCTGCAGCTGAGGGTCCTGACTACTGGAAGGAAAACTAACAAACAGAAAGGATATCCACACCAAAACCCCATCTGTACATCACCATCATCAAAGACCAAAGGTAGATAAAACCACAAAGATGGAGAAAAAACAGAGCAGAAAACCTGAGAATTCTAAAAATTGAGTGCCTCTCCCGCTCCAAAGGAATGCAGCTCCTCACCAGCAATGGAACAAAGCTGCACAGAGAATGACTTTAAAGAGTTGAGAGAAGAAAGCTTCAGATGATCAAACTTCTCCAAGCTAAAGAAGGAACTTCGAACCTATCACAAAGAAGCTAAAAACCTTGAAAAAAAATCGACGAATGGGTAACTAGAATAACCAGTGTAGAGAAGTCATTAAATGACCTGATGGAGCTGAAAACCATGGCACGAGAACTACGTGTTGAATGTACAAGCTTCAGTAGCCAATTCGATCAACTGGAAGAAAGGTTATCAGTGATGGAAGATCAAATGAATGAAATGAAGCGAGAAGAGAAGTTTAGAGAAAAAAGGGTAAAAAGAAACTGACAAAGACTCCAAGAAATATGGGACTATGTGAAATGACCAAATCTATGTATGATCGGTGTACCTGAAAGTGACGGGGAGCATGGAACCAAGTTGGAAAACACTCTTCAGGATATTATCCAGGAGAACTTCCCCAACCTAGCAAGGCAGGCCAACATTCAAATTCAGGAAATACATAGAATGCCACAAAGATACTCCTTGAGAAGAGCAACCCCAAGACACATAATTGTCAGATTCACCAAAGTTGAAATGAAGGAAAAAATGTTAAGGGCAGCCAGAGAGAAAGGTCGGGTTACTCACAAAGGGAAGCCCGTCAGACTAACAGCAGATCTCTCGGCAGAAACCCTACAAGCCAGAAGAGAGTGGGGGCCAATATTCAACATTCTTAAGGAAAAGAATTTTCAACCCAGAATTTCATATCCAGCCAAACTAAGCTTCATAAGTGAAGGAGAAATGAAATCCTTTACAGACAAGCAAATGCTAAGAGATTTTGTCACCACCAGGCCTGCCCTAAAAGAGCTCCTGAAGGAAGCACTAAACATGGAAAGGAACAACTTGTACCAGCCACTGCAAAAACATGCCAAATTGTAAAGAACATCGATGCTAGGAAGAAACTGCACCAACTAAGGGGCAAAATAACCAGCTAACATCATAATAACAGGATCAAATTCACACATAACAATATTAACCTTAAGTGTAAATGGGCTAAATGCCCCAATTAAAAGACACAGACTGGCAAATTGGAAAAAGAGTCAAGATCCATCAGTGTGCTGTATTCAGGAGACCCATCTCATGTGCAGAGACATACATAAGCTCAAAATAAAGGGATGGAGGAAGATCTACCAAGCAAATGGAAAACAAAAAAAGGCAGGGGTTGCAATCCTAGTCTCTGATAAAACAGACTTTAAACCAACAAAGATCAAAAGAGACAAAGAAGGCCATTACATAATGATAAAGGGATCAATTCAACAAGAAGAGCTAACTATCCTAAATATATATGCACCCAATACAGGAGCACCCAGATTCATAAAGCAAGTCCTTAGAGACCTACAAAGAGACTTAGACTCCCACACAATAATAATGGGAGACTTTAACACCCCACTGTCAACATTAGACAGATCAACAAGACACAAAGTTAAAAAGGATATTCAGGACTTGAACTCAGCTCTGCCCCAAGCAGACCTAATAGACGTCTACGGAACTCTCCACCCCAAATCAACAGAATATACATTCATCTCAGCACCACACTGCACTTATTCCAAAATTGACCACATAGTTGGAAGTAAAGCACTCTTCAGCAAATGTGAAAGAACAGAAATTATAACAAACTGTCTCTCAGACCACAGTGCAATCAAACTACAACTCAGGATTAAGAAACTCACTCAAAACTGCTCAACCACATGGAAACTGAACAACCTGCTCCTGAATGACTACTGGGTACATAACGAAATGAAGGCAAAAATAAAGATGTTCTTTAAAACCAGTGAGAACAAAGACACAACATACCAGAATCTCTGGGATACATTCAAAGCAGTGTGTAGAGGGAAATTTATAGCATTAAATGCCCACAAGAGAAAGCAGGAAAGATCTAAAATTGACACCCTAACATCACGATTAAAAGAACTAGAGAAGCAAGAGCAAACACATTCAAAAGCTAGCAGAAGGCAAGAAATAACTAAGATCAGAGCAGAACTAAACGAGATAGAGACACAAAAAACCCTTCAAAAAATCAATGAATCCAGGAGCTGGTTTTTTGAAAAGATCAACAAAACTGATAGACTGCTAGCAAGACTAATAAAGAAGAAAAGAGAGAAGAATCAAATAGACACAATAAAAAATGATAGAGGGGATATCATCACCGATCCCATAGAAATACAAACTATCATGAGAGAATACTATAAACACCTATACACACACAAAAAAAGAAAAAACTAGAAAATCTAGAAGAAATGGATAAATTCCTGGACACATACACCCTCCCAAGACTAAACCAGGAGGAAGTTGAATCCCTGAATAGACCAATAACAGGCTCTGAAATTGAGGCAATAATTAATAGCCTACCAACCAAAAAAAGTCTAGGACCAGAAGGATTCACAGCCAAATTCTACAAGAGGTACAAGGAGGAGCTGGTACCATTCCTTCTGAAATTATTCCAATCAATAGAAAAAGAGGGAATCCTCCCTAACTCATTTTATGAGGGCAGCATTATCCTGATACCAAAGCCTGAGAGAGATACAACAAGAAAAGAGAAATTTAGACCAATACCCCGATGAACATCAATGCAAAAATCCTCGATAAAATACTGGCAAGCCGAATCCAGCAGCACATCAAAAAGCTTATCCACCATAATCAAATGGGCTTCATCCCTGGGATGCAAGGCTGGTTCAACATATGCAAATCAATAAACGTAATCCAGCATATAAACTGAACCAAAGACAAAAACCACATGGTTATCTCAATAGATGCAGAAAAGGCCTTTGACAAAATTCAACAGCCCTTCATGCTAAAAACTCTCAATAAATTAGGTATTGATGGGATGTATCTCAAAATAATAAGAGCTATTTAAGACAAACCCACAGCCTATATGATACTTAATGGGCAAAAACTGGAAGCATTCCCTTTGAAAACTGGCACAAGACAGGGATGCCCTCTCTCACCACTCAAATTTAACATAGTGTTGGAAATTCTGGCCAGGGCAATCAGGCAGGAGAAAGAAATAAAGGGTATTCAATTAGGAAAAGAGGAAGTCAAATTGTCCCTGTTTGCAGATGACATGATTGTATATTTAGAAAACCCCATTGTCTCAGCCCAAAATTTCCTTAAGCTGATAAGCAACTTCAGCAAAGACTCAGCATACAAAATCAATGTGCAAAAATCACAAGCACTCTTATACACCAATAACAGACAAACAGAAAGCCAAATCATGAGTGAACTCCCATTCACTATTGCTTCAAAGAGAATAAAATACCTAGGAATCCAACTTACAGGGGATGTGAAGGACCTCTTCAAGGAGAACTACAAACCACTGCTCAACAAAATAAAAGACGACGCAAACAAATGGGAGAACATTCCATGCTCACGGATAGGAAGAATCAATATCATGAAAATGGCCATACTGCCCAAGGTAATTGATAGATTCAATGCCATCCCCATCAAGCTACCAATGACTTTCTTCACAGAATTGGAAAAAAAAACTACTTTAAAGTTCATATGGAACCCAAAAAGAGCCCACATTGCCAAGTCAATCGTAAGCCAAAAGAACAAAGCTGGAGGCATCACGCTACCTGACTTCAAACTATACTACAAGGCTACAGTAACCAAAACAGCATGGTACTGGTACCAAAACAGAGATATAGACCAATGGAACAGAACAGAGCCCTGAGAAATAATACCACACATCTACAACCATCTGATCTTTGACAAACCTGACAAAAACAAGAAATGGGGAAGGGGTTCCCATTTAATAAATGGTGCTGGGAAAACTGGCTAGCCAAATGTAGAAAGCTGAAACTGGATCCCTTCCTTACACCTTATACAAAAATTAATTCAAGATGGCTTAAAGACTTAAATGTTAGACCTAAAACCATTAAAACCCTAGAAGAAAACCTAGGCAATACCATTCAGGACATAGGCATGGGCAAGGACTTCATGTCTAAAACACCAAAAGCAATGGCAACAAAAGCCAAAATTGACAAATGGGATCTAATTAAACTAAAGAGCTTCTGCACAGCAAAGAAACTACCATCAGAGTGAACAGGCATCCTACAGAATGGGAGAAAATTTTTGCAATCTACTCATCTGACAAAGGGCTAATATCCTGAATCTACAAAGAACTCAAACAAATTTACAAGAAAAAAACAAACAACCCCATCAAAAAGTGGGCAAAGGATCTGAACAGACACTTCTCAAAAGAAGACATTCATGCAGCCAAGAAATACATGAAAAAATGCTCATCATCACTGGCCATCAGAAATGCAAATCAAAACCACAATGAGATACCATCTCACACCAGTTAGAATGGCAATCATTAAAAAGTCAGGAAACAGCAGATGCTGGAGAGGATGTGGAGAAATAGGAACACTTTTACACTGTTGGTGGGACTGTAAACTAGTTCAATCGTTGTGGAAGTTAGTGTGGTGATTCCTCAGGGATCTAGAACCAGAAATATCACTTGACCCAGCAATACCATTACTGGCTATATACCTAAAGGATTATAAGTCATGCTGCTATGAAGACATATGCACATGTATGTTTACTGTGGCACTATTCCAATAGCAAAGACTTGGAACCAACCCAAATGTCCAACAATGATAGACTGGCTTAAGAATATGTGGCACATCATATACACTGTGGAATACTATGCAGCCATAAAAAAGGATGAGTTCATGTCCTTTGTAGGGACATGGATGAAGCTGGAAACCATCATTCTCAGCAAACTATCACAAGGACAAAAAACCAAACACCGCATGTTCTCACTCATGGGTGGGAATTGAACAATGAGAACACTTAGACACAGGAAGGAGAACATCACACATTGAGGCCTGTTGTGGGGTAGGGGAAGGGGGGAGGGATAGCATTAGGAGATATACCTAATGTAAATGACGAGTTAATGGGTGCAGCACACCAACATGGCACATGTATACATATGTAACAAACCTGCACGTTTTGCACATGTACCCTGGAACTTAAAGTATAAGAAAAAAAAAGAAAAGAAAATGTGGCACATATACATCATGGAATACTATGCAGCCATAAAAAAGGATGAGTTCATGTCCTTTGCAGGGACATGGATGAAGCTGGAAACCATCATTCTCAGCAAACTATCGCAAGGACAAAAAACCAAACACTGCACGTTCTCACTCATAGGTGGGAATTGAACAATGAGAACACTTGGACACAGGAAGGGGAACATACACACCGGGACCTGTCATGGGGTTGGGGGAGGGGGGAGCGATAGCATTAAGAGATATACCTAATGTAAATGACGAGTTAATGGGTGCAGCACACCAACATGGCACATGTATACATATGTAACAAACCTGCACGTTGTGCACATGTACCCTAGAACTTAAAGTATAATAAAAAAAAGAAAGCAAAAACAACAAAAACAAAAAAAATGAAATTACATATAAACTTATAATTAAATAAATGTATTCAACTCAAAGGTAAAAATACCCATTATCTCCAAATTTTTTAACTACAAAAAAAAAAAAGAAAGATTCAGTTGGCCGGGTGTGGTGGCTCATGCCTGTAATCCCAGCACTTTGGGAGGCTGAGGCGGGCAGATCACGAGGTCAGGAGATCGAGACCATCCTGGCTAACACGGTGACACCCTGTCTCTACTAAAAATACAAAAAATAAGCCAGGCATGGTGGCGGGTGTCTGTAGTCCCAGCTACTCGGGAGGCTGAGGCAGGAGAATGGCTTGAACTCGAGAAGTGGAGCTTGCAGTGAGCCAAGATCATACCACTGCATTCCAGCCTGGGCAACAGAGCGAGACTCTGTCTCAAGAAAAAAAAAAGAAAGAAAAGAAAAGAAAGAAAGATTCGGTTGTAGGAATGGTGGTAGCAGTAGTTCAGTGCCTAACATTTATTGTGCTCTGACTGTGGGCCAAGCACTGTGCTTAACACTTTAAAGCATCTCTCACTTAAACCTTAAAAAAATCCTATGTAGCAAGTCATATTAGAAGGCTTACTTTACATATAAAGACACTGAGGCATGGAGGGTTTAAGTCCTTTCCCCAAGTTACACAGCTAGAGTAGTTGGTCATATATCTCTAAGATAGTATATCTTAGAGACGTTTTCTCCAGGGACCTTAGAGGTCCAAATTTTAGGAGACAATTACTGAAAGCCTGGGAAGTCCTGTTCAGGTAGGAATGGGGGATAGACCCCTTCAACAGGTTGCAAAATCATTTGTTTCACTCATCTCCACTACCAGAACCCTGTTTCAAGTAATCATTTTCTCCTGTTAGAGCTAACAAGCTCTACAGACAACCCCACTGGGTCTCTTGCCACACCCAATCCAAGACAATTTTCACACTGTAGCCAGGGTGGTATTTCCAAAAGACAAATCTAATGCTGTCAATCTCTTCATAAATATTTGTCTGTTGAATACACAAAAGGTGTATTCACCTAATGAATACACAAAAGGTCATGCAGAGTTCATCCATATTTGGAGAATCAATTGTTGATGGAGAGGGCGAAGGGGGGCGGGGAAAGAGGGGGAGAGAGAGAGAGAGAGAGAGAGGAGAGAGAAAGAGAGAGAATGAGAATGAGAATAATTGTGGAAGCCGAGCCAGGAAATGACATTATAAAAACTGAGGAAAAGAAGTCCCAGAAGTTGTTTGTAGACCAGAATGGCATGGGGTTGGTTGGTGCTGGCTATGGGCAGGAAACAGAGGGTGGTGGCTGTCTTCCAGGGTGGGGTTGATGGAGAACAGGGTGGAAGCTGTGCAGTTGGACACAGAGGTTTCAACTGGGAAACATATCTGGGGAAACAATTCAGGCATTTGGGAAAGGTCTAAATGACAGGAAAACGAATAAGGAAAGATTAACCATGAATATATGAATTCGAGGGACCCTCACAGATGGAGGAACAAAGCAAATAAATCTTGGTGCATTATTCCTTTAGCACCATAGCTATCAGGAATTTCAGAGGAAATCTACTTATGGCAAGTCCCAATTTTCTCAAGCTCTTCTACATTTATGATGTTTCCATCATAAACCAAACTTTTAATTAGAAATCACTTCTAGGAAACAAAAGATTTTTCAAAGATAACATTTCTAGAACTGATTGATGATGGAAATCTTTGAATAATCCATTTATCATATGTTTTATTATTTCAATAACCTCAGGTTATAGCCATCCTTTTATTTTATATTATATTTACCCTTAGGGTATAAATCTTTGCCTGTATTTAATCCTCATAATATATTATTTAACTATGCCAATAGGAATAATCACTTCACCTTAACTTTAAACTCAAATTACGTAAGACTTTTTGGAGAAGTGCTCCTAATATATGAAGCATATTCTTTTAATTCTCAACTTACTGGTCCAGAAGGGAAATATATAGTATTTTGTTCAGTACTACTTTCTATTTTAGGTCAGGATACAGCTCAGAAAAACAAATATCACTTCCATCTCACATCTGACTAGGCAAATCTTTATTTTCCAATATGGATTATTTTTGGTTCAGTGAGTTTTATTTCAATTCTTTTTCTGTGCTATGTCTAGTTTCACATTATGATTAATGACTGAAATTTCTTTGTCTTCCCTACAGTTGCCTTGAGAATTTGCATTGTTAGATCCATTCACTAATTATAAGGGTAAAATGAAAATTCAATCTTGAATATAAATATTGCTCTTAAAAATGCACAGATCAGCTGGGTGCGGTAGCTCATGCCTGTAATCCTTTGGGAGGCTGAGGTGGGTGGATCACCTGAGGTCAGGAGTTCAAGACCAGCCTGGCCAACATGGTGAAACCCCGTCTCTACTAAAAATACAAAAATTAGTTTGGTGTGGTGGCGAGCTCCTATAACCCAGCTACTCAGGAGGCTGAGGCAAGAGAATCGCTTGACCCTGGAAGGCGGAGGTTGCAGTGCGCTGAGATTGCACCACTGCACTCCAGCCTGGGTGGCAGAGGGAGACTCCATCTCAAAAAAAAAAAAAAAAAAGCACAGATCTTCATATCTTCACTATTAATTATGTATTGATTATTTTTAAATGATAATGCATAGAATAGTGCTATATGGTGCATCATTTCTTACCTATTGATATCGTTTAGATTTGTGTCCCCACCCAAATTTCACGTTAAATTGGAGAAGAGGCCTGGTGGGAGGTGATTGGATCATGGAGGTAGATTTCTCCTTGCTGTTTTCATGATAGTGAGGGAGTTCTCATGAGATCTAATGGTTTAAAAGTGTATAGCATCTCCCCCTTCACTCTCTTTCTCTCCTGCCACCATGTTAAGAAGGTGCTTGCTTCCCCTTCACCTTATGCCATGATTGTAAGTTTCCTGAGGCCTCCTATCCATGCTTCTTGTTAAGCCTATGGAACTGTGAGTCAATTAAACCTTTAAACCTCTTTTCTTCATAAATTACCCAATCTCAGGTAGTTCTTTAAAGCAGTATGAGAAAGGACTAATACACCTATACTTTCAAGGTATAGCTTATAAAAAGTATCAGATTAACATTACAAATTAAACCCTCTATTTAGATCAAAGATATCAGAATGACTGAATATGATTCTCTTACTGATAGATAATCTCGGCTCTCAAAAAAGCCACTTCTAAAAGTGTGAGTAATTTTCACAAAGCGATAATATAAACTAGAACTTCCAACTTAAAATAGTCATTTATACAGAGAACACTGGCAGCAAGTTGTTTCAAATGATCAGTTTGAGAAACCAGCAGACATATCTTCTCTGAATTCCCCTATAACCCACAAGAATTCACTTCTCTAAATCTTAAAGCAGAGTTGCTTATGGAAAGCCCTAATTTCCAGAATTAGCAATATTCAAACACTAATTCTTGCTATTCAAAACTACAGACGTGTGCAGTCAAACTACACTATCATCCTGAAATGAGAAATCCATTTCTTTCTGGCTTTTGGGACATGTGAAAATAGCAGTTGAGTCTGGATTCTTTACAAGCCTCAACAGGCATTGCTGAGAGATGTTGAGAGCAGCATTGGCATCCAACAGGCCTACGTTGTAAACCTGGCTCAGTAACCTGTGGGCTCAGCTGGTCCACTCTCTTCTGCCAATACCATGATCCAAATACACAGAATTTTTCCATTTCCTTTAATTAGCCAGTTCCCCTCTCACTTCCAGGCTTGCAGACACATGTTCTAGTTTATTTGCCTGGAATACTCTGTCCCCTTACAGCTCATGTAATACCTCTTGTCTTTCAAGTTTCGGCTTAAAGGTCACTTACCTATTCAGTGAAGCTTTCTCTACACACCAGATTAGAATCCTCTTGATACATATTCCCTTGGCTCCCTATCCTAAAATAACAAGTATAACACTGTACTGTAATTAATTTGTTCATGTGTTTGCCCTTCAGATTGTAAGTTCTGTAAGGGCCAAGGACTATCTATCTCTAGGGCCTAATACAGTGTCTGGAAGGAAGTAGGTGCTTAATGAGTATGTGTCAAATGGAGAGATGAGTAAAAGGTTGTCTGTGTAATCTAAACTTAGTTGCTTATCATTTTGAGACTTGCTTTGTGTGGGCTATTCCAATAATTAAAAGAGATAATGACACAGAACATTTAATTCTAAAAATTACAAGTATCATAAATGAAAGCTATCTTTATCCAAGAAGCTTACACACATGGATGTTGGGAAAGATAATAACAAATCTGAAAAGCTGTTGGAGCCAATCACAGGCTACCTAAAAATGCCCAAACTCAGAGAGTCTCGAGTGCACATTTCTCCAGGAAATGTCAAACTCAGTTGCCATGTCAGCCCTTGAAAACAAATTTTGCTGTCCCATAATATTTGGGAACACTTTTTCATGTTGTCTTTAGTGTAAATCTCACATTTAGTTAGAAAATATTAAGAAACACAAACAAGCCCTAGGCTGCTTTGTATCATAGTAATGTGTTTCCCTGTCATATCCCCACAACTGAAGGGAAATGGCTGAAAGGCAGGAATTGTACCCTTCTTTGTATTGACAGAACACCTAGTCCAGACATTTACATTTAGTAAAGACTCAATACATTTTTGTTACATGAAAGTATCAACAGACTTTTGGCTTCTTAAAATTAAACTTTAAGCTTTTACCTGAAAGCTCATCTAATACCTCTTGTCTTTCAAGTTTCAGCTTGTCTTCCAGCTGTCTATTGATCATCTTCCTTCAGAAGGCCTGCCATCTCCCAAAATCATCTCCCCAAATTCAATACATCAAAGTGAAATTTGTTACTCCCACCAAGCCAAACCAGACTGGCTCCATTCCCTTCCATCCAATACATTCCAGTTGTATCACTTTAATTATAGAAACCCTGAAACTATTTTTGAATTTCTGTTTGCTGAAATAATAGAGCTTCCATATCCAATCTGTCAAAAAATCAGTAATTGTTATCTAATCTACTGTTTCAGGGCCTCATTGCTAACTTCCTAGATAACATTTCCATGATCAGTTTCTTCACCATTGTAAATATTAATCCTTCCAAATTCATTTTTGTGTCCCTCCCTTGCTTAAGAACTTATATGCCCCCTATTCACTATTACATTCAGAACAGACTCTTCTACCTGTTTCTTAGTGTTCTCATAGTCTGCCTCCAATCGTGTTTTCATCTTTTCTATCCACAATTTCCTTACTGTTCCAGTAAGGTCTGTTTGCACTCGGATCACTTTTCCCTACCCTCTCACATAAACACACCCATCATGCTGTGTTTCTGAAGTGCCTTTTCCTCTTTTTCTCACTAAATCAAATCTTATTTAAATCATCCTTGGAGGTCCAATTAAAGTCTTATCTCTTCTCTAACCTTTCTAAGTCCCACACTGTTCCTTAGTTTTCTGCGCTTGCTTTGTAGTTATGGCTGTTAAAGGAAAAACTTTAGACAAATTCAATTTAACAGGGTTTTTTTTGGAACAAAGAATAATTCATGAATCAGGCAGCTCTCAGAATCAGAAAAGGTTCGAAAAACCTCACTTTGCAGCATGAGCAGTAGGCTTTTATAGGCCAAATGCAGAAGCAAAATAAATAAATTATTTGATTGGCTACAGCTAGGCATTTGCCTTATTTGGATATAATCTGGTGGAATGTCCTCAGAGACTAGTTAGCAGTTTCTCATTGTTTAAAATTAAATTTTATTTTACTGTTTATGTTGGGGTTCCATTTGCTTACATAGGAACCCAAGGCACTGGAGTGGTTTCATCCTAATGGCCTCCCAATTAAATGTTTTTAACAATTCCCCTTTTTAGTCAGCCTCTCATCTATGAGAGATTGACCAAAACTTGGTCATAAGCACAACTCTCTGTCACCATCATAGCTAGTTTGTCTTTGAGTGTTATGTCTTTGAGTATTATGTTTCTGAGTGTTAAATTATGAGGGTGGAACCCATAATTCACAATGTCAGGCTCATTAAAGAAATATTCTTTTTGTTGTTCATTTTGTTTTTGTCACTCTAGTCACAGTGAGACCATCTGGCATACTGTTGGTGGCTATGAACATGCATTTAAGACCCTTGAGAGAAGACAGAACATGAGGGAGATCACAGTGATGACCCAAGAGGACATTACAAGAAGACTGGAATACGCTCCTTGGCCAAGGCCCCCATGAACAAAATGAACTGAAATAAGCAAAGAAAGATAATGGTTAATGGCTAGAACAAACTGTAAGCTCAGTCTAAGTCCAGAAGGCAGTTAGTTGATAAGACTTCTAGATTTGAGCTAAAAGCATATTTTCTGTTTTGCAGTCTGAATGTCTCTGTCTATGGCATCTAGCATTTCAGTGAACTCTCTGATTGGCCCACAAATAAGAGGTTATGGATGTTGTCTTATGAAATTTATATCTATCACTAGTTTGTAGGGCTTCAGGAACAGAGTAGTTTATGGATAGCAAGTCTCAAAGACAATGAGCAGGACTAGAATTTGATAATGGGTACAGTATAGTTTCCACTGAAACATTAATTTTCTCTCCTACAGCTGCCTCCCATTTCGATCAAAGATAATCAAAATAAAACCAGTTTGTTTGCAAAATAGGACCAGTCTCATTAAGCTTGGCCTGATTATTTACAAAATTACAGTGAAAATAATGATTGACTGTATAGAATTTTTTTAGATATGCTTTGATAGAACTTTTAATAAGGAATCCCAGATTGAACTTTTAAATGCCTTTCCAGTCTAAGAAGCCAAGCCAAGAACTTACTATCAGACTTTGCCTGTAATTCCTATAAATTTGAGTGAATTTCTCTCTTCTTGAGGTCCTCAAAATATTTTTAATCTTCCTAGTTCTTCCTTATTCAATCTGTAAGGCTGGGAAACCCTTAAAGCCAGGTACTAGGCCAATTTTTTTCCAAGGGGCTTTATTGGGTCCATAAAGTCCACCTTAGTTCCTTAAAGTTGTCTGGTCATATCTGAACATATGATAATCATAATCCTGTCTAAACATTGGTAATATTCCCAGTGGTTCCAATTGTGTCCTGTTACAAAGACTGCTGATTGTCCCAGATCCAAGTTGAGACAGTCAGTAAAAAAGTTTAACTCCTAGAATTGATTGGAACAGGGTGGGGACCTCACTCAAATTTGATCAATTGGAGTCCTTCTTGAATGCTTTGAATCTCACCTGGGAGAGCAAGTTCCAGTTAATTCTGATGACAGTATTATATGATGTAAGGCCATGAATGAAGAGCTAGCAACAGCCATATTTCCCAGTGATGGAGAATGTAGGCTGACTGAAAGCTGCTATTTTCATGAGTGTGTCCCATGATCAACTGCAGTCCTTGGCACATAGTATTCAATAAATACTTATAGAATGGATGGTGCCGGCTGTTTATGTCATGTCCATTGTGTGCAGAACACTACAGCAGGCATTATGAAAAAGAAACCAAATAAATTAAAATGGGAACTAATATAGAGTAAAATATTCAATAATTAGGTACTGATTGTTTTCTCCACATTCTGATGAAGAAACAGAGGCATAGCTGGGTAGGTAACTTGCCTGTATTTATACAGGTGTTAAATGGCAGAGTGTGAATCACGGACGTATACTCAGGTCTATCTGGCTCCAGAGTCTATGCTTTTTTCACTGCACCATGGTTTCTGTCTTCTCAAAGCTTACTTGTTTATTGGGAAGATAAACCATACACCCTTTAATTAACTTGAGAACTGGGTATGCCTTCTGGATGTTCACTGATCAAACAGATATTGAAGTTTAGGGTAAAGCTTTCATGAAAAGTTGTCATGTCCCAAGGCCTACCACAGTTGCAGACTGTTAATCAGATTTAGGTTTAGGTGATTGGCTTAGGCAGTGCTAATTAATAAGGTCTGCTGAAAAATATAACTATAAACAGAAATGTCTGACTGTGATACAAAAAGAAAGTAATGCAATATATCTCAGCATTTGTTCAGAGTTTGCTGTTTCTCTGATGGCCAGAAAAAATGATCATGATCATTATAGTTGGGGTTTCTGGCAAATCTGTCACTACATTTCTCTCTGGAACAAATTATGTTTTTTTGTGTGTGTGTCGTGTGGTCTAACTTTACTTCATTACCAACCTTTGCAGATAACATGTGTTTGTGTTTATTTCTGTCTCATTACAAATTCAGTTCAATTTACATTCAAATAATTTTCAGGTTTTCCGTCTTCTGCTGTGGCTTTAGCCATAATGCATGAGAAAAAAAGGCTGAGTAGTGGCTTGCAAAGAATCAACTTCAGAGGAGAAGCAGTTGCTTTAATCCTAACACCAGAGGAAAAAAGTGGGGGACGTGCTCAGGGTCCCTGTTTTCCAGGCTTCCTCAAGGGAAGTGGGGTTTGGGGTTGGGAGAATAAAAGGGGTTGTTAGTCTAGTTCTTGGATTGTTGTTTATGTCAATCAGGTTTCCCCGATTGCAAGCAACAGAACCAACTCTGACTATCACACAGGAAAGAAATATGTTGGTAGGACTGAGGGAAGCTTTTAAAATAAGCAGAGAGGTAGAGAGGGAGCTTTAGGAAGAGAAAGGAGCCAGGACAACCTCAAGAGTCCAGCATAGCAAAGACTGAACATCAACTGGTATTTTTTGTTGTTGTTTTTTTCCTGTCTTTGCAACACTGGCATCAAGATTCAGAATTCTGGGAAAAACTCCAATAGTTCTGTTTGAGTCACTTTCTCACTCTTGGCTAGGTGAGCAGGGCACTTTTATTTAAAAGATGATTGGTGTCATCAAAGAAGAGAATAGATGCTGCCCAGTAGGAAAGTGATCAGCATCTGCTACATTCCCTCTCTAACCCATAATGACCCAGCTGGAAGCCACTGTTTCCAGGGGGCATCTTCTAGAGACCAGAGCCTGTGATGCTGATCCTGCAGTTAGGAACTCCTGCTATGCGTTTTCCTTTGCATGTAGATCTGAGATGTCCTAAGGACCCTTTGTATCTCTCACAATCCTGTGGCTTTCCTGATTCTATAAAATAAGAGGAAAGATCTCTGAGTTTCCCTTTCTTCTGTAAGCAATGGAAGCTACTCATTCTGTCATTTGTAGGTGGCCAGTAATTTCAAGTTTTCTATTCTATTCACCTGCTATAGGAAACCTGCATGTGATGGGATAGGTCTATGTAGCTGTACACCAAGCACATATCCACTCAATCCAATAAAGGATACAGCTTTAAATTGGTATTCAAGATGTGCAGTAATTGTGCCCTAATGAACTGAAGATGGGGATTAAAAGCCTCTCTGCAGATATCACAGACACTCTACTAAACACAGTAGTGTTTTGCTTAGAGCTCAAATTTTTCAACCTCTCTGCAACATTTGACATTGTTGACAATTTTTCTCTTTGAAATTGTTTTCCTTCTTGGTCCTAATATATCTGTTTTCTCCTACCTTTCTGGTAGGGTCTTCCCGATCTTTTGTACTTATTCATGCATTTGGCATGTTCTAAATAAAAGAGAATAATAATGTTTGATTATGGTTTTGAGTATGGTTCTCAGTAGAAATAGTGAGTATCCCAATAGGAGGCAGAAGACAGTTGGGGGACCTTGGGGTTAGCTAATGTTCAGAAGTCTTGGCAAACAGATGTTGGTCTCTTATGGTTTACCATTGGGTACTAGGTCTTCTTTTGCCAGGAGAAAGATAAACAGAAAGTCTCCAATACCATGAAAAGATCACAACAAGGCACAGAGGCAGGATAAGACTGAGGCTGTAAGCAAATTCCTGAAGCAGGAAATAGAATCAAGGCAGGAACTCAGGTATTTTGCGGTGCCTGGAGGACACTGGGTTTTGGAAATGAGGTGATTCCTGGAATGGGTAAGAGCGACTTGCCATACAAATACAGAACAGCTTAGATGCCTTCTTCCTCAGAACCCTCAGATGAAAGAAAGGGGGGCAGAATAAATAAGAGGGAGTGATTTGGATAAAGATAATAGAATAATTTTATAAAATCTGAAACTGACACAAAGCTGCAAAGGACAGAGACAGATACATGATCCAAACTTGCGTGCAGGCAGTTTTGGTCAAAAGTGTCCATTGTTTAATTATTGACATAGCATGGCTTAGCAACAGCCTTCATGACAAAGATGTTGGGGATTTAATTAATGGCAAGCTCAACATAGATTACAATTGTATTTTGACTTTCCGAAAATGTTAATTCAACCATCAATTGCATTAATGAAAGTAGAATACCTTAAAAAATAGGCCGGGCGTGGTGGCTCTTGCTTGTAATCCCAGCACTTTGGGAGGCCAAGGCAAGTGGATCACCTGAAGTCAGGAATTTGAGATCAGCCTGGCCAGCATGGTGAAACCCTGCCTCTACTAAAAACACACACAAAAAAATTAGCTGGGTGTGGTGGTGTATGCCTGTAATCCCAGCTACTAGAGAGGCTGAGGCAGGAGAATTGCCTGAACCCAGGAGGCAGAGGTTGCAGTGTGCCAAGATCGTGCCACTGCACTCCAGCCTGGGTGACAGAGCAAGACTCCATCTCAGAAAAAAGAAAAAAAAAGAAACCCTAAAACAAAAATAAACAAAACAGAGATGACATCTCTGCTGTACTTTATATGGGTCAAATCCTAGTCAGTATTGCATTGAGTTCTGATTTTGGATGAACATAAGAAAAAAACTGACACATGCAAGGGAAGTTAACCAGGAGAGTGAGGATTTCTTAAAACAACATTGCACAAAAAATTGAGGAAATTAGGGGCTTTTAATCAGAGAAAAGAGCAGATGCAAGGGTAATAATAGCTGTCTTCAAATATTTGTGGAGTTGTCATATGGAAGAAGAATTAAATTTATTCTATGTTGTTTAATCTATCTATAGGTAAGAAATGTATGGAATTTTCAAGGAAGCAGAATGTACAGAATTTTCCATTCGATATCAGAAAGAATTTTCAAAGCATAAATATCCATGAGATGAGTTGGTCAGGAGGACAGCAATTTATATCACTAATGCTGTTCAACATAAATATTTGAGTATTGCTTGGGTATATCTGGAATATCTTCGTTGTAACAGAAAACCAAGTCAGGCTAGCTAGCTCAAGCACAGAATACAAATTATAAGCTTATTAATTGACTCAAACGTTTCTCAAGCTCCTACCATAAACTATGCCCTGTTCTAGGTATTGGGGCAGTTAGCAAGACACACACACAAAATTAAATATCTCTGGCCTCAGGTGGGATATATTCTAGTGGGAGAAACAGACAAAAGGTACCAGGATGCAGTATACATTTTTCAGTTTGTAGAATGCCCAATGCCAAGCACTCAGATAGAAGGGCAGTTGGGGGCTGGAATCAAATCTGACCTCTCTAGCCAAGCCTGGAATCCCAGTGGGCTGTATTGTCAGCCTGGAGAAAAGTCACAGTTTTATAATTTGTAGCAAAGCATGAAATGTGCTGATGGTGGTCCCAAGATAAAATAATAAAATACACAGCATGTTAGATCATGACAGTGCTGTGAGGAAAGCTAAAGCATGGGGGAGGATGGATTGACTCTGGAAGGGCTCACTGGAGAGATGACCACTGAGTAAAGACCTGGAAGATATGAAGTTAGAGAGCTAAGGGGCAGAAGAGGGTCCATGGCATGGGGCCCTGTGCACCATGGCAATGAGTTCAATTTTTACTCTTGAATTAAACGGGAGACCATGGAGATATGGCGTGATCTGAGTTACATTCTGAGAGCATCATCTTGGCTGCCTGGCTGAGAACAGTGAGGAGAAGCAACAACAGAGGCAGTCTGTGTAAGAGGCTATGGAAGTGACCCAGGGAGGTGATTGTGGATGAGACTAGGAAACAGCAACACAGACATTCTGGCTATATTTTGAAAATAAAGCTAACAGGATATACCAATAGATTAAATGTATAACTCATTTAACTAGGAAGACCACGAGTGGAACAGGCATCAGGCATAGCTCAATCCAGGAGCTAAAACAATAAAGTCAGGACCCTATCTCTGTTTCTTTTGCAGACGGCTCACTATCTACAGCAAGTAGGATGCTCACAGAATACTTTACACTAGGCTGGGTGTGGTGGCTCCTGCCTGTAACCAATGCACTTTGGGAAGCTGAGGCAGGAGGATTGCTTGAGCCCAGGAGTTTGAGGCCAGCCTGAGCAACATAGTGGGACCCTGTCTCTACAAAAGTAATAATAAAAAAATTATCCAGGCATGGTAGTGTGTACCTGTAGTCCCACCTACTTGGGAGGCTGAGGTAGAAGGACCACTTGAGCCTGGGAGGTTGAGGCTGCAGTGAGCTAGTATCACACCACTGCACTCTTGTCTGGGTGACACAGACCCTGTCTCAAAAAGACAAAAAAAAAAAAAAAAAAAAAAAAAACAGAATACTTTACACTCATATTCCACTTGGTTAAAGAGAACATCTTTTCCCATGGCCCTGCCAGGTAGTCTCATAGTTATGTTTTGTCTTTATCGCCGGGTCAACAATAATGGCCAGGTTTGGGTTATATGCCCACTCCCTGTAAGAGTGGGAGGGTGGGTGGGGTCAGGCAGTGTCAGCTCCAATCAAACTTCAAGGAACATCAACACTTCCTGACTAGTCCAGAGCCAAGCCATAAGATGAGAACAGACTATGGAAAGTGGTAAATAAGCTATGCCCAGCATGGAGTGAAGATGTATCAGTCTATAATTTCCATTAAAGATTTTCTTTTCTTTTTATAAACAGGAGAGTTTCCCAGGGAGAATATTTTGAGGGTCTGTGTATTAGTTTCCTATTGCTGCTGTAACATATTATCACAAATTTAGTGACAACACAAATTTATTAGCTTATAGTTCTGAAGGTCAGAAGTCTGACACTGTCTGATATGGTTTGGATTTGTGTCTCTGCTCAAATCTCATGTCGAATTAGAGGAGAGGCCTAGTGGGAGGTGATTGGATCATGGGGGTGGATTTCCTCCTTGCTGTTCTCGTGATAGTGAGTGAGTTCTCATGCGATCTGATGGTTTTAAAGTGTAGGCACTTCCTCTTTCGCTATCTCTCTTTCCTGCTCTGCCATGTTAAGATGTCCCTGCTTCCCTTTCACCTTCTGCCATAATGGTAAGTTTCCCGAGGCCTCCCAGTCATGTTTCCTGTTAAGCCTATGGAACTGTGAATCAATTAAATCTCTTTTCTTTATAAATTACCCAGTCTCCGGTAATTCTTTATAGCTGTGTGACACTGGACTAATACACTGTCTTACCGGGTTAAATCAACGTATCAGTATCAGCAAGGTCTCCCTTCCAGAGGCACTAGGGGAAAGTCTTCCTTTTTGTTTTCCAGCTTCTAGAAGCTGCTTGCATTAATCAGCTTATTGCCTCTTCTTCCATCTTCAAAGTCATCAGAGTAACATCTTCAAATCTCTCTCTCTCTCTGATCTCCTGTCTCCTTCTTTTACCTTTTAAATCCCCTTGTGGTTACATTGGACACACTCAGATAATCCAGAATTATCCACTCATCTCAAATATTTAACCTAATCAAACTCACAGAGTCCCCTTTGCCATGTGAGGTAAAATATTTTCAGGTTCTGTGGATTAGCACTTGGACACCTTTGGGAGCCATATCCTGCCTATCACAGCATGCCATGTGCATAGCACATTTTGAAGTCAGTTGCTACATCCACTATTCCTTTTTTAGGATTGTAAAAATATTCACAAAATAATGTATTCCTGATAATGTAGCCACACTTACTCACCTAGGAGAGAGGCTCCTGGCCAAAGGTTGACCATCCAAACGACTGCTTCTAGAGTTCTTCCCGATGGAAATATTTTACCTGAGAGGGAGTGTTGTCAAACCAATCAGATCCTTTCATTTGGAATGCTTGAATTGAAGACATACCAAGAGTATGGCCTGTTAGGAGAGTGGTAAAGATGTAAAAATACAGGAAGTGAAAGCAGTAAATAAAAGCCATGAATTTTATTTACTGATAAAGAGAAGAGGAGACAGCCAGCTATGGGTAGTCCAAGAGAAAGACAAAGCAGGAAAGAAGGGACCAGAGACGCAAGAGCACAGTCAGGGATGCAGTGGACTTCTACACCTGGGGTTGGCCTCCTGCTGACCCCCAACCTGCAACAGCGGCTGTTGGACCATTAGATCTACCCGACTGCAACTAAACAGTTACAAATGAGGGTGCTAGTTCTCTACGTATACAGCAGCTTGGGGTTTTTTTTTTCTTCTTTTCATCTATGCCCACAATAAGCGTCCATGAACTGAGGTAGCCTGACTGTATCTCTCTTCCCAATAATCTGGAAGAATGTGACAGAAGGATAAGGCATGCAATCAGTCCAGTTAAGGCATTCAACGAGACACCTGTATCAGCCTGCAAACAATACAGATTATCTCCTTAAAATTTCACTACCACTTTCCCAATAAAGTTCCTCTCCATGTAAACTCTCTCTAGGACTTAAAATAATATTTATTTATTTATTTATGTATTTGTTTATTTATTTATTTATTTTTGAGATGGAGTCTAACTCTGTCACCCAGGCTGGAGTGCAGTGGCGCCATCTCAGTTCAATGCAACTCCGCCTCCCTGGTTCAAGCAATTTTCCTGCCTCAGCCTATTAAGTAGCTGGGGTTACAGGCACATGCCACCATGCCCGGCTAATTTTTGTATTTTTAGTAGACACAGGGCTTCACCATGTTGGCCAGGCTGTTCTCGAACTCCTGACCTCAAGTGATCCACCTGCCTCGGCCTCCCAAAATGCTGGGATTACAGGCATGAGCCACGGTGACCGGCCTAAAAGAAAATTCTTAAATGACCACATAGTAGCACCAAGGCTGCTGATGCTGCTTGGTTGTTTAGGGTGAAAATTCTGCCACCAGCCACACTAAGAACTACATTAGAACAGAGAGGAAGACAATGAAATTTTAAAAGGTGAGGGTTTTTGCATATCGAGGAAAAAAAAGAAATGAGCATTAAGGACTTGAGTAACATTCTTTGTGCATGTATGTGTGTCTTTATGTGCAAATATTTTTAAGTTAGAATCTAAAGCCTGTTGTCTTCAACAGAGGCCATGGAAGCAAGATGAGGGGTCTGGAATGAGGCCAGCAGAATTTGTAACCCCACCTTCTTAAGCCAAAACAATACTGACAGGCATAAAATTGGTATTTATGAGGTTATAAGTCTTAAAAGAGTATGTTGTATATACAAAGAAAAATGCCACCCACGAAGCTAATTCTTTTCCATGTCTGAATTCAGGCTGAAAATCTCTAGGGTAAGAAAGTCAATGTTGCTGGTTTTCAAGTTGTAGTTAACTTTTGGCCAGAGTTGGATAACCACCCTTTTTAGGCAGCAGTTTTTAATCTTTTTTAAAGTTGTAGCCCTCTTTGAATATTTTGTGTAACCCTCTCCTCTGAAAAGTAAGGTTACATGAAAAATTTTGCCTAAAATTTCAAGGAGCTTATCATTTCCTTGAACTACCATGGGCTCAAATTAGCAAAACAAAAGAAAAACTCTAAAATATAAAATGTAAGTGTGTATGCCTAGGTTATTCTACAGGTAAGCTAACTTCCATAGATACTATTTTCTGTAGCCTTATATTTGTTTTCCATTTCCTAAAGCTGCTTATAAGCATTTATAGATCTTTGCATAATTTGTGCATTTAGAGAGGATTTCTAAAAGGACACAACTGGAGGTGCCCTGGTCAGAAATGATTTAAAGAATGCTTCTTAAGAAGGAGGGTGGAGGAATGCTGAATAGGAATCAAATCTGTTTTGTTTTCTATATTTTCCTCTTGGCTATCCCAGCAGGAAGCCTGCCCAATCTAGTTCATCTTCGTTGCTTCATTTTCATAAAAACATTGAAAGTTAAATACTTGAGATCATTTATTCCAATACTTCTCAAACTTTTGTGCATCAGAACCATTTGGAAGGCTTGCTTAAATGCAAATTTTTAAGGTCGATCCTCAGAATATCTGATTGCAATCAGTCTGGAGTGAGGCCCAATAATTTGCCTTTCTAACGAGCTGCCAGGTGATCCTGATGCTGCAACTCCTAGGACTATGTTTGAAAGGTGCCGATTTCATCTGTTTTAAAGATGAGGGACTGAGACCTGCTCAGATTTCTGCTGCTTTCCCCCATTTTCTGTTCTACCCTCAAGATGGACAGATTCAGTTAACCTTTGTTGCTACCTTCAAAACTATTATCATTGAATGAGATGAGGTTATCAAATGCACCAAGCTCATTTCCATCTCAAGGACTTTGTACTTACAGCTGCTTTAGCCAAAAAAATCCTCTGTTCTTATCATCTTATGACTTTCTTCTTTTCTTTGTTGAGATCACTGCTCAAATTCTCCAGACTCTGCCTTTCCTGACCACCCTGTATAAAATAGATCCTATCACTCTTGATTTTCACACATCACATTCATTTTATTTTCAGTCTTTATGTCAACATGAGTCATGTGCTTATTGGTTAATTATCTATGGTTATCTATGGACATAGCTCTATGAGGACAGAGATTAGGCTTGTTCCCTGCTGTGACTCTAGCCCCTAGAACTGGGCCTGGAATATAGTGAGTTCTCAGTAAATACTTTTTGAAAGAATTGATGAATAAAAGTGCTTTCTTTCTTTCCTTTTTTTTTTTTTTTTTTTTTTTTTTTGAGACTGAGTCTTGCTCTGTCGCCCAGGCTGGAGTCCAATGGCGCAATCTCAGCTCACTGCAACCTCTGTCTCCTGGGTTCAAGCGATTCTCCTGCCTCAGCCTCCTGAGTAGCTAGGATTACAGGTGCTCACCACCACGCCCGGCTAAGTATTTTTTTGTATTTTTAGTAGAGATGGGGTTTCACCATGTTGGTCAGGCTGGTCTCGAACTCCTCGTAATCCACCCTCCTTGGCCTCCCAAAGTGTTGGGATTACAGGTGTGAGCCACTGCGCCCAGCGAAAGTGCATTTTTATAGTATATCTTATTCTGCTTTACATCCACTTGGCCTTCCTTGAATTTATAACTTCTCATACAATTTTAGTAAAAATTTTCCAGCCTTCTTTTTCAGTAGTTACTGTAACAATAAAATTAGGTAACAGTGTTTAAACACAAAGGAAGAGAAAAAACATTTATTTTAATGCAATACAAACTTGGCTCATTAGTTGAAGTGATTGGGAGACTACAGTCATCAGAGAAGACCACAAATGAGAGGAGTGATCTCTTTAGAGAACTAGAAGAAATTGGTATCTCACTAGCTGATTGCTTTCATTCATTATTGCAGTAAGTATATATTTATGGATGACTTGCTACATGTTAAGTGCCATTCTAAGCTACGGATACAGAAAATAAAAAAGAAATCACTGCTTTTGGAGAACTTTCATAGTACTAGAAGAAAGGTGGAGAAAAACGTACAATATAAAATATATGGTATACTATTAGGAAACAAGGGCTTTGAGGGAAAGAATGTGGAAGAAGGAATAAAGAGTGTACATGTGTGTGTATGTGTGCATGCGTGCATATGCATGGGTGTGTGTACAATTTTAAGTAGGATAGCCAGGAAAGACCTCACTGAGAAGGTGACATTACGAGAAGACTTAAGTGAGGGAAGGGGAAGAGCCATGTAGCTATCTTGGAGAACAGTATTCTGGGAAGGGAGTAAAATGTGCAAAGGCCCTGAGGCAGAACTATACCAATGGTGTGGAGGGAGCATGGAAGAGGCCAGAGTGGCTGGGGCTGACTGCAAAAGGGTGTAACAAGTAGGAGGTGAGGTTGGAGAGGGTGGGTCTGGACTGTGCCCTTTAGGCACAGTAAGAATGTGGAGCCACTGATGTGTTCTGGAGTTAGAACTTTATCAGGATCCGACTTACATTTTAACAGGCACACCCTGCTGCTGTGAGAAGAGTACTTTTCTCTTATCTAGGCTTTGGACTCCCCAGAAAGAAAATCTGAGTCTAGAAAATTTTAAAAACCCAATTGTTTCAGATTCTTAATGATGTCTGCCACAACACACCCTTTATTTAAAAATATTTACTGATCACTTACTATAAGCGAGGCATTGTGGGAAACTATTTTTTAATGTAGCAGGAGAAAGAAGCGAAAACCACCATTAATTGAGGGCCTTTAGTGCGTCTGCCAGGTAGGGCACCAGGTGCGTGACCGCTGTCATCACAGAATCTTTGCCCTCCTAGAGCTTTGGGTTAGCAGGGGATATAATGTGCACCGAAAACAATGGAGACTCTGTGAAAAGGACTCTGGAGCTTACAGATGAAGTGCCAATGGTTTTGTGAATTGGAACATGTCACATCTGAGGGGATGCTCTGTTTGCTCTTAAAGCAAGAGCAGAAGCACAGATGCAGTGAATCCCAGGGACTAGCAGGAAGTGAACGGTGGTGGGGAGCACAGAGGAGACGAACATGGCGGGCACAGGGGACCTATGAGAAGGGAGAGGAGGGGAAGACAGGAGGCCAGGGGAGTTGGCTTGATCTAGATCCTAAAGAAGTCCTACAGCCTTAGAAATGGGCACAGGAGCCATTGAAGACGTCTAAGAAGGGGACTCCATGGCCAAACCGTAGGAATCTGCAGGCGGGGGAGTCAGATGCTCCTAGATAATAGAACAGCAGAAGAACGATGGAGACGCTGCCTATAGGGAACTCTAGTCTGAAATGACTTCATGTTGATAGGAAGCATTTCTTGCTAACTTCTAAGCATAAGGTAACTTTCAAGTTTCACCTGAGTATTGCAACTTTTGCTTAGGGAAGGAGAGCCAAATGGGAATTTTTACATTGCCATTAAGACTCTGATTAGGGGAAAATTCCTTGGGGCAGACGATTACGTCAGCATAGTTTTTTGATTTATATTTTAAATAGTGCAAGTATTCCCAGAGGCCTGGTGACAGACAGAAATTCTATAAATATATTAAACTCAAACAATCTGCACACAGCTGCCAGCCTGAAGACTCCCACCCTCTTCCAGATTTAACCAATTTTTAAAGGCAATTACTTTTGGAAATTTTAAACATGCAGCTAATCAGTCTAAGGAAAAACAGAGTTTACTCCAATACTATTGCCAAGGAGCGTTTCCCCCTACACTTGTTTCTTTAGCATTAGAGTCTGGGGGCCCTGTTTACATCAAAAGCTCTTTGGAGGAAAACACACAGCTCAGGTAAGGTATAGACCAATAGGGCGGTGCAGTGGAATATAAATAGAGGTGGTGTGAGGTCTGCAGCCAGGGAGACCCAGGTACAAAGCCAAATCCCAACACTATCCCTTCCCAGTAATGTGGCCTTTGCCAAGTTACTTAGCTTCTGCTGTGAGAGGCAGAGTCATGCTTAAGGTCATGGCCTCCGTACCCAGATAAAGGGTTAAAACTCTTCCTTTGCTATTTCCTTGCTGTGTGGCCTTAAGAAAGTTATATAACCTCTATGTGCTTCAGTTTCCTTAACTGTAAAGTAATAATAGTATCTACTTCATAGGGTTGTTTGGAGATTAAATGACTCGAGTTCTGTAAAGTGTTTAAATTACTGCCTTGCAAGTCGAAAACTGCTTGCTCTTTTATTATTACTAAATAAAAAGGATATAATAACTCACAGGGCACTTCTACCAATTAAATGAGATCTTGAGAAAGATAGTATATCACTGTTTAGATGTTTATGTGGCTGGAATCCATAGTAATAAAATCAAATGCGACTTGCAAATGATTTTATTTTTAAGACTCATATGAGTAAAGGTTATTAGTGACTATAGGGAAGATAGTGAACAAATTATATTGTGTGAAAAGAGAAGTGGCTTCGGGTGGAAAATACTGGGTACTCTTTTCGACTTTGCTACTTGCTCTGGCTGTGAGAATGTGAGGAAGTCCTCTCTGAATCTCCATCTTAAAATAGAAATTAGGCTGTACACCTAAGCACAAGATTTCTACAATGATCTAATGTAATAATATATGTGAAAATTGGAGAGTGCTAACTTAAAGGCATCATTTTCGTAATAATAAGTATTATTAAAGATAATATTGTACCATTATTAAACTCCCAGGGCCTGATGTAGGTGCTCTTAGATACATCTGAGCTTTTGGGATAAATGATACTTGGCAAACATTTATCATATATAGAAAGCAATTTTCCAAATGAGAGATACTTTCTCTTTTCGCTGGCTACTGGCCATGTCATGTCTACAGAGAACTCTATTAAGAATGCACAGCTAATGTGAATAGTGCCTAAGAAAATAAATGCATTGTAGGTAGGAAAGTACTGCCACATCCAAGGCCAAAATGAAATGCAGCAAAAAGTCAGAATTGCTGTCTTATACCCTAATAAACTCATAAGGTTAATTTGCACATCTTGTTTTTTAAGCTACTGACAACATTGTGAGTCACACTTAGCAGTTACCATTAGGCCTGGGATTTAGAGGTACGGAGTTGAGACATAAAGGGATTGAGCTCAGTATAGCTGAATCTTTTCCACTGATGGCCCAAGAGAGAGATTCTTTTCATTATTAGCAAGTGCATGAAGGTATGGAAGAAGCACACTAAAGTTCAGAACTAGAATTTCAAATGACATATCTCAATTAGAGAAAATGCAGAGACAAAATTAGCATCCTCTCAGCAAGTTTCCCTGAAATCTGGGAAACTAGAGGGAGAAGAGGTAAAAGAGTCCACAAATGTAAGATGGATAGATCCTGGGGTCCTAGAGACAAGCAGCTGAGTAAGAGAGCACCATTCAGTTTAAGAACAAAAAAAAAACATCACAGAGCAGAGATTATAGGGCCAACCATTTCCCTGGTCATGAATAGGTTCGTTCCGCAACACTCTGTGCAAATTCTGTACTTCACAAATAAGGAGAGAGGTTGGAAACATGATTATAGGGGTTGAGAATTAAATTTGTGACAGAAAGATTAAAAGGAGTACTGGGATTCAGTCTAAAGTAGAGAGCAATGGAAAATAATGGGAAATTAATATTCTTCATATAAAGAGCTTTCATTCTAAGAATATGCCTGGAGGTTTTCTTTGGGAAAATCCTGAAAGGAAATGGTTTAAAGTTGTTTTGTTTTTTTAAATGAAGTTCAACTAGTTATATAATAAGGAAGGATGTAAATGTGACATAGTAAACAACAAACGTTTATCAAGTTCCTAAAATGTGATGAGTCTCTGATTCCTGTCTTCAAGGTCCTCACCATCTGTCCAGGGAGGTGGTGAGTACCGTGTGGACGGTGTTGGGTGAGGGAATGAATGAACTGGTATGGAAAGAAAAGGGGAACATACCTAACCTAGGAAAGGTGCTACCTTAGTCAAATTTTGAAGGTTGTGTAAGGCAAGGCAAGGCATTTAAGGAAGAAGAAATGGCAAAAGAGCTTGAGGTGACATGGGGTGCTTGTAAAATTAAAATATAGCTCAAAAGTATAGGCATACAGAATACAAGACAGGACCAAAAGTTAAAGTGGTCTCATTTATTGAGTTTTGATTTGTACGACATGCAATTTTCTTTTGTACACCATTTTGGTCAATCCTATAATAACTCTTGCAGCGTGGTTTTGTTAATCAAGGTTTTTAATGCAGGGTTAATAATATATAGGCCCTCAATTCTCATTGGTTTAGCACAATAGAGATATATTTTTCATCTCACAAGGTCCAATGTGGGTCATGCAGCCTGTGACACCCAGAACATGTGGACTCCAAGCACTTCTGCTCACAATCTATGGGGTAGAACATCACATATTCCCAACTTCACTGCAAGAGAGGAAGGAAGATGAAGAGAAGCACATGTGCATTTGGTGAGCACTAATGATCTTTGTTCTGGGTAGGAACTTGTATTAGTTATTTATTGGTGCATAACAGTATTACCACAACCTTAATGGCTTAAAAAAAACACATTTTTATTATCTCGCTTTCAGTGGGTCTGGATTCCAGGCACAGCTTATCTGGATTCTCTGTTTTCAAGTCTCAGAAGGCTGCAATCAATGTGTTGGCTGGGGCTGCAGTCTCATGTGAGGCTTGATTGGGGCAGGATCTGTTTCCAAGTTTATGTGGTTGTTGTCAGCATTCAGTTCCTAAGGTTGTAAGACTGAGGTCCTCAGTTTCTTGCTGGCTGTCCACTGGAGGTCCCCATTAGTTTCTTATGTCATGGTGGGCCTTCCCAACATGGCAGCTTCGCTTTTCAAAGGGAGCAAAGGATAGTCTCCCAGAAGACTGATGTTGCAATGTTATATAACAATGGAAGCAATAACTCATCATCTTTGCTATATTCTATTGGTTAGAAACAAGTTACACATCTTGCTGACACTCAAGAGGAGTATATTTCACAAGGTTGGGAGTATCAAGAGGTGAAAACAATTTGGAGCAGTCTTAGAGTCTGCTCATGATCATAGTACTATTATTATATCCCTATTTATCAGAAAAGGATATTGAGGCACAGGAAGATGAAATGATTTGTCCAAAACCTCACAACAAGTAAGGAGTAGAGCTGGAATTGTATTTCATTTTATTGTAAAACCCATATTTTAAACCATTACACTGTACTACCAGACTATGAAGAGTTTTCTGTTGTCATAAGAAGGTTGGATTTTTGTTTCCCATAGATGATGGAAAATAACAGAATCAGATTTTCATTTTAAATAGATCAATTGACTCTCAAGATTGCATTTGAAAAGGTAAGACTAAAGGCAAGAGCCAATTTAGGAGATTCTCACCAGAGTTCAGATGAGAGATGATGAGATCTTCAAGTGGAACACTAATATAAGGGATGGAGTGGAGGAGGCATCGTCGCAAAAATATTGAGGATGTGGGTAAAATTTGCAGGACTTGTTGATTCAGCGTTGGTGGTGAGGAAGAGAGACTATTCAAGGGTGAATCCTCAAATACTGACAGGTTCAATCATGATTTTCCCTCTCTTCTTTTACCACACTTCTCCTCATCCACTATACTCCAATTTTATCTTGTCTTATTCCTATTTCTAGGACACATTAAGCTTATTCTACTTCATGGCTTTTGCACTTGCTGGTCTCACTCCCTAGATCACTCTCTTTCCCTAAATCTCATGGCTAGCTGCTCCTTCTCTCTTAGGCTTCACCGTTCTCTCCACCAAATCACTGTTTTATTTTCTGCATAGCATGTATCATTAGCTAAAGCTATCTTGATATTTTATTATTGGTTTTTCTTTCCTTGCTAGTAACATAAACCCTTTGAACACAGGGGACTCCTTTGTGTTGTTCATCTTTGTAAGCCCAGGACCAAGAACAATGCCTGACATGTAGTAAGGACTCAGTGCACTAGAATGAATAAATAATTGCTTGACCAGGAGCAAATGGAGAGGAAACGTATTGAGGCATCTTAGAGGTCAAACAGCAGGCAAAGCAGGATGAGGTGTAAAAGATCTGAGAGAATAAAATGTTGTAGAGCAAGGGGGACTCCTAGAATGAAAAGTTTTAGAGAAAAATATCTGGAAAATAGTAATGGATAAGTTGTGACCACAGGAATTGATGGCAGATACAGAATAGAGGTGAATGTCACTAGAATGGGAGAGACCAAGGGACTGTGGGGCCAGGCTACTGACTCAGAGCTCTTCATGAAAGGCAATATGTTATGGCAGAAGAGGGGACCCAACAGGACTATGAGCATGGTATGGTCTTTGCTGATTGAAAGGGAAGCATCTGGACCTGATTGATGGGGAAAAGAACAAAGCTGATTGGGTAGGATTGCAATTGTTCTAAATGGGAGTTGATTTTTGATGATGGTAGAAATTCCAAATGGTCTTAACAACATGAGGTAGGCTCTGTTGCTATCCCTGTTTACAGGTGAGGAAAGTGAAGAGTAGATGAAGGAGTAAAGCAATTTGCTCTAGGCCAGACAATCTGAATCCAGGGTCTACATTTTAAATCATTATATAACTTAACCTTGGGAGCTGATCTCAGTTCAGAACTCATGACCCTTGACTCACATCCCAGATTTACTTCGGAAAGTTAAAAAAAAAAATTGTATAGTTTAGAGAGTAACAAGGCTAACCCACTCTTTTATAGTTCATTCATTTATCCCCAAATATCTATTAAGCTCCTACTCTGTATCAGGTAATGTGCTTATCATTTTATATTTAATATCCTTTTAAATAGTCTCAATCACCATATTAGGGCATTGTTAAGAAGTATTATTTATTTAAAAATTATACACTTATATAAATATATATAAAATTTATTTAAAAATGATTTTAGTATCTCCTACAGTGCTTGGTATAAAGTGACTCCTCCATAGATTCCAGTGAATTTACTTGACTTTAACATGTTTACAACAAGAGTGGTTGAACTGAAGGATGGTACCAGCACAGGTACTCAGTCTATGGCCTTTGTTCACGTAGCACTTTCTTCCGTAATTCTAAAAATTTTCTACCTGAGCACCACCTATGAAGGAGCTGCAAAATTCATTTAAATAGAGCCAAAAGTGATAGTTCAGCAGCTTCTGGTCCAAAAAATTTACATTTCTCCACCTATCAAATTATAGAGGGAGAGATGCCAAACTTTTATAGATTTTTAGTTCCATCAAATTAGTTTATTTTCTCTCTGCTTGCCAACCACAAAGTAAATTCTCTATCCCAATGAAAGCTTTATTGTTACAGGTATCATCCAGTCCCTAAAGACATCCTGAAATCATTCTGATCTCAGCAATTCCTGTTCTCTGCATACCCTTTTCAGACTGATCTTGTGAACACACTTCACTATTATTATTGCCTTGAGCATCTGTAACACTTTCTGGGATATGTATGAGATCACGCAGATCACTGAGGCACAAAGCTTCCAAAGTCAATGATGATGTAGTTCAGTTCTAGCATATCAACAACAGAGCCTGGTTCCCAGTAGGAATGTAATGCAGCCTCTTGACTTGCCTTTTCTTTATCTCATCCTTCTCTGTGAGATAGGATAGAAATGCAAATAGAGGTGAGTGTTCCCAGCTTTTCTCTCCACCAAATAAATTCAATTCTCTTTCTGCTACTGCTCATTTCTTTCCCCTCCCTCTCCTCTTGAGAATTCACTGACTGGTCCTATGATTTGTTGTGAGGCAGAATTAGGAAAATGGGTTGGAGGCTAAATGTCCCATCCCTATGAAACACTAGTGAAAAGTAATATGGAATTTTCTTTCCCAGACGCTCTTCTGTAGGGGGCAGCTGGCACTTGGAGAGTATGCAGGGGTGTGATGACAATGACGCGCTTGGGGTGGAGGTTGGGAAAGGGAAGAAAAACAGATGGCTGGAAAGTAGAGAAAATGGAGGAAAGGAGGTGAGTGACAGGCCCTGGGAGATGCAGGGTGTTAAAAAATATGAGAGGAAGAGAATTTTAGCAACAGTTGCCTTTGAATTTTGTCTTCTTCAAGAAATGTGAATATCAGGTTTGAATTCCTATCAGACTCTCCTTTGAATGTGATCCATTTTGAAGGGCCCACGTGGCCCATAGTTATAATGAGTGATGCACACAACAGGCATTTGTGAAACGTGCCTGGTGATCCCAAATATTATTATGCAGCACAGAAGATAAAAGTAAATAAATCACGGTAACAGAGACACGTATAGTTTAGCTAAGGGATAAAATGACAATATTTGTACATCAGTTTATAGCTGAAGAAAGTGTTCATTATTTTAAATTATTTTGGTGGAGGGCTATGTAGGACTGGTTATTTATACATTATCTCCATTTTATTTTATTTTTTCAATAAAGCATGCTTACATTTGCCTTATTTTATTTTATTGAGACAGAGTCTCACTCTGTCACCCAGGTTGAAGTGCAGTGGCAGGATTGCGGCTCACTGCAACCTCTGCCTCCTGAGTAAAAGCAATTCTCCTGCTTCAGCCTCCCAAGTAGCTGGGATTACAGGCATGAGCTACCATGTCCAGCTAATTTTTGTATTTTTAGTAGAGACAGAGTTTCGCCATGTTGGCCAGGCTGGTCTTGAACTTCTGGCCTCAATTGATCCACCCGCTTCAGCCTCTCAAAGTGCTGGGATTACAGGTGTGAGTCACTGCACCCAGCCTATCTCTATTTTTTTATTATTATTATAGGTTCAGGGGGTACATGTGCATGTGTGTTACATGGATATATTCTGCAATGGTAAGGATTGGATTTCTAGTATACTCACCACTCAAATACTTAATGTTGTACCCAATAGATAATTTTTCAACTCTCCTCCTCGTCCCACCTTCCCCCTTTTGGAGTCCCTAATGTCAATTTTTTTCCCTCTATATGTCCACGTGTACCCATTGTTTAGCTCCCACAGAACATGTGGTATTTGATTTTCTGTCTCTGAGTTATTTCACTTAGGATAATGGCCTCCAGCTCCAACCATGTTGCTGCAAAATACATGATTTTGTTCTTTTTAAAGGCTGAGTAGTATTTCATGTTGTATACATACCACATTTTCTCTATCCAGTCATCTATCGATGGACACTTATGTTGGTTCCCTGACTTTGCTATTGTGAAAGTACTGCAATAAACATATGGGTGCAGGTGTCTTTTTGGTACAGTAATTTTTCTTTCCCTTGAGTTATCTCTATTTTAGAGGTAAGGGATCTGAAGGTCAGAGAAGGCTTGACCGTGGCTTTCATCTAGTAAGTAGCAGAGTTAGAACTACAGCCCATTTGGGGAGCACCAAAGCTTGTCCTCTTTCTGCTTTCTCATACTATCTCTGAACTGAGAGGGAAAAATGGAACACTAGACAGAAACCTTCAAGCAGAGGTCCAAATTACGATGTATAAGTTGGGTTTTTTAAGATTACAAGAAGCAGAGGTACCCAGGTTACCTCTGTGATAAGGGTTTGTGATTCAGGGTTATGTCAATTGGCATGAATTGTCATCTCCTTCTTGGCTGTGCAATCACTCCTGGTCCCACCTACCTCATACTTGGCTAGAGAGGCCTCAAGGAGAAGAACAACATCTCTACACGCTTTGGAATACACCTTCCATCCCTGCATACTGTGGGAACTCCTTCTTCATATGAAAGATAATCTGATTGAGTCAGTCTTTTACCATTCCATATGAAAGCCCTTGATGCCAAGATTTCAGCCAGAGTCCAGTGGAGGTTTTTGGTCTCTTTCATGCCCAATCTTACCCATGAGTGATGCTGGCTTAGGCAACAGTCCTGGGTCAATCAGTGGTGACCAAGGTAGCAGAGCTGGTTATACTCTCTGAATATGGCTCAAGATGTAGTAACTCAGTGCACCGAGAACCTCTAGAGCTGTTTTCCTTCAGAAGAGAGCTTGGAGTATGTCATGCAGGTGGCTTCATGAACATTTTGCTAGGGGCTGGACCAATGGGGTACAATGAAGGAAAGACTGACTCAAAGGCTGATGACACCCAGGAGCCCTGCCATAGTGCTGTACTTTAAGAAATAATGAATGCATTATCCTTAGTGTTTACCTAGTCACAATAGAATCTCACTACTTCATGTTCTCTTATATTTTTGTCTTCCAAGCAACACTTATTTGAGTCATTATTCCCACTCTTCTGTCCCTCTGCTTTGCAACTCACAATGTATTGATGCAGATTCAATTTAATAATGGAAGAGCAATATTTATGCCATCTAATTTTAAATGATTATGGATGCAGCTGAAAAGCAGCAAACATTATAAATACATCACTTACCATTAAAAGGTGGCAAATGTCCCTGAAAGAAAAATATTTAGAAACTGCCACTACTTGCTTCACCAGTGTGTTATTTTATTTCCTATATTTTAAGTTTATAAGAAAAAACACAAGCAATCTTGTCTGTACCTCAAAGTTTGATTGCTTCCAAAATAAAAATATGTTTTTAAAAAGTAATACAGCACAAACAAATGAACAGTCACTATTACATTCAGAGTAATTTAATATAATTCAATTCAATTCAATACCACTGTTGTAAAGGAGGATTAAAGTCTCGACAGCTGCACTTGAAGTATAGCAATTAATGTAGTTGGAATTCAGGAATTTAAAAACTATCCCATTACATTTTGTTAAATCAAAGGATCTAAAAAACAGTTGTTGAATCATTATTGGATTAACAGAGGATTGTTGATGTTACATCATTTAAATCATAGGTCTTAATCCCTATAATAAAGTCAAGCATTACAGTGTTTGCAAAGCAGAAAAAAATCCCAGGAGTCGGGAGATCCATTTCAGCAACACTTCCCTGCTGTTGAGTTGGCACCAACTCACAGCAGTCTATGGAATGTGTTGATAATGTGTTTGGCCAGGGACGTCAGGGTTATTGGGGCTAGACTTATGGGCACAAAGTGATGGATAACCCCTGGACTGTGATTTGAGGGATTCTGGAAAGAGTATCTTGATCAAAATAATACCATCTGCCCTATGTCAGGATGTCCAAAATCCAGCCATTGGGGTTATAGTCCTTTGGGTCTTATGGTTTTTCTACACTTTCTGACATTTCTGTTGCCAAAGAGACCTGTTGATTCTTTCAAGATCCAAGCCTTGCAATTCTGGCCATTGTCACTACATAGATGGTCATTCAGCTAAGCATAGTAAAGCAGTGATTTCAGGATGGATAACCCAGAGATGTGATGAAGTTTAACAATCCAGACAGTTAAGCCTTTTCCATAATCATATGATATTTAAAAAAAGACTTACTAGCTAAATTCAAGTGCTACCACATTTAGCAAGATTTAAATGAATAACATGATACCTCTTTACATTAAAATTTCTTATCAATTGCAATTTGACTTATGCTTGGTTTCCAAATTTATGGTAACATTTTTCTTCAGATTGCACAGTTCTGAAGTTGTATTTCTGAACCAAATTTTATGTAATTGCTTTTCTTGGCAGAGGGAGATTTTTTTTCCTGGCTCCACTTAGGCTCAGAACTCATTCCCCTCTGGCACCTTCTACTTCTTTTCACAGGCTTAATGGTAAAGCTCCAAGGTGTCCCCTCTTTCTCTGTCCCTTTGACTTCTCTTGCCATGATTAACTGAAGAAAACCACCAAGAATTTGTGATAATCATGTATCAGATTTGGCTCTGTAAAAGCTTTGCCTGTTCACCCTCAGGATTCAGCTTGCCATGTGCACCAATTCCTACCGCACCAGTCTGCTCCCAACCCCTTGAGAAAACAGTTGACTGAGATGAGCACAAATCAGTCAAAACATCTGCCTCAAACCTCAGGCCAACTTCATTTTTCACATGTCTTTTGAAAGATTGAAAACAGAGTTTGAAATGAGTACAATGGCAGCATTTTTTTTTTTTTTTGGACACAGTTGTAGGACTTCTGGTAGGAAATCCTGCTTCATTCTGAATCTTCCTTCAGCTCCTCTTAAAAACCACACAGAAAAACACAAGGAATTTTTTAGAGTCACAAAATTTGTTTACAGTGAAATGAGGAGACCGAAAAACCTGCTAACTCCATTTACATGTAAGAGCTGCCAAGAGCAGCTGAAGTCAGCAAAACCCTGCAGGAATCCAGGTGGGAAGCATCAGGGAAGAACGGAAAGCAAGGAAGAGTCAGTCCTGGTACATCTCAGAAATCTCCAGAAAATTACTCCCTCAGAAGGGAAGTGTTCTACCCTGTGTCAGCAAAAAGAGTCAAACTCGGTATTTGAAGGGATTTATTCTGAGCCAAATATGAGTGACCATGGCCCATGACACAGCCCTCAGGAGATCATAAGAACATGTGCCCAAGGTGGTTGGGGCACAGCTTGGTTTTATACATTTGAGGGAGACATGATACTTCAATCAAATACATATAAGAAATACATTGGTTTGGTCCAGAAAGGCAGGACAACTCAAAATGGGGACTTTTAGCTTATAGGTAGATTTTTAAATTTTGTGGGTGACAATTGGTGAGTTTCTCTAGAGACCTGGTATCAGGGGAACCTGCCCCTGATAATTCAATGTTATTTCACGTAGGTTCTTTTCTCTTTCCCTAAGTGTCGGCCGGTCTGAGAAATAAAGGGAAAGAGTACAAAAGAGAGAAATTTTAAAGCTGGGTATCCAGGGGAGACATCACATGTTGGCAGGTTCTCTGTTGCCCCCTGAGCCGCAAAACCAGCAAGCTTTTATTAGCAATTTTCAAAGGGGAGGGAGTGTACGAATAGGGTGTGGGTCACAGAGATCACATGCTTTAAGGGCAACAAAAGATCACAAGGCAGAAGGTCAGGGCGAGATCACATGGTCAGGGAGAAACTAGAATCACTAATGAACTTCCACGTCCTGCTGTGCAGGCATTGTCATTGATAAATATCTTAACAGGGTTGAAGAGCAGAGAACTGGTCTGACTAGAATTCACCAGGCTGGAATTTCCTAATCCTAGCAAGCCTGGGGGCAGTGCAGGTGGCCAGGGGGTGTTTCATCCCTATCTACATCTGCAAAATGCAGACACTCCCAGGGTGGCCATTTTAGAGGCACCGCCCTGGGAATGCATTCTTTTCCCAGGGCTGTTAATTATTAATATTCCTTACTGGGGAAAGAATTCAGCGATATTTCTCCTACCCGTTTTCAGTAATAAGAGAAATAAGGCTCTGTCCTGCCCGGCCCACAGGCAGCCACACTCTAAGGTTAACTCCCTTGTTCCCTGAAAATCGCTGTTATCCTGTTCTTAAGGTGCCCAGATTTCATATCGTTCAAACACACATGCTCTACAAACAATTTGTGCAGTTAATGCCATCATCACAGGGTCCTGAGGTGACATACATCCTCAGCTTACGAAGATGACGGGATTAAGAGATTAAAGTAAAGACAGGTATAGGAAATCACAAGAGTATTGATTGGGGAAGTGATAAATGTCCATGAAATCTTCACAATTTATGTTCAGAGACTGCAGTAAAGACAGGCATAAGAAATTATAAAAGTATTAATTTGGGGAACTAATAAATGTCCATGAAATCTTCACAATTTATGTTCTTCTGCCATGGCTTCAGCCAGTCCCTCTGTTTGGGGTCCCTGACTTCCCCCAACAACCTGGGATCAATAGAAAGGAATGTCTGGGTTAAGATAAAAGATTGTGGAGACCTAGGTTCTTATTTGCAGAGGAATCCTTTAAGTACAAGGCTTCAGAGAGAATTTATTGTAATATTTTTTTATCAGACTTAAGGTCTGTGTTGATGTAAATGCCAGAGAGGTATAATGAGGCATGTTCGACCCCCACTTCCTGTCATGGCCTGAAACAGTCTCTCAGTTGGTAACCTTTAGAAGAGCCCTGTCTGCGCCTGGGCACAGTGGCTCACACCTGTAATCCCAGCATTTTGGGAGACTGAGGTGGGTGGATCACTTGAGCTCAGGAATTTGGAACCAGCCTGGCCAACATGGCAAAATCCCCATCTGTACTAAAAATACAAAAATGAGCTGGGCATGGTGGCACACGCCTGTAGTCCCAGCTACTCGGGAGATTGTGGCAAGAGAATTGCTTGAACCCGGGAGGCAGAGGTTGCAGTGAACTGAGATCAGGCCATTGCACTTGAGCCTAGTTAACAGAGTGAGACTCTGTCTCAAAAACAAACAAACAAACAAACAAACAAAACCCTGTCTGAGAAAGAAGTCCATTCAGATGGTTGGGGGGCCTTGAAATTTTATTTTTGGTTTACACTTGCAAGGAAACTGCTACAATAGGTGTTAGATCAAAGAAGTTACAAGTACTGGGAAAGCACGAGAATAAAAATATGGAAGGTTCTTCGGGGATCCAGAGTTGGCATAGTTCAGAAAGCATCAGCAAAATACATACTCTAAAAGTGTGGGGATTGCCTTAGAAGGCAAGCTCTGTCCCTCGGTTGCAGTAACTAGTGAAGGAACTAGAGGAGTGTAGGGCTGGTTGGAGAGGCTATCTTGAACTTCATTAAGTTCAGAGAGTCACAGAAATGTGGCTACACAACTGTATCATCTCTAAAGGAAACAGTTCTCCACTAGCCTAACAGAGGAGGTAGAGCTCTTGAGTTGCTAAACTAGGAAAGCTACTCTGGCACTTCCTCCTCCTCCTCTAACCCTCCACTTCTAACCTCTTGCAGACAGCTGATTCCTGACAATACAACAATAATTAATTTTTTAAAAGGAAATGTATAGTACTTATTGCCAAACACTCTAAGAACATTTGTGGGAAAGAACAGCAAGACCTTTTGATAGACATAAGTTTTTAGGAAAAGGTGCCATAGAGCAGACAATTAACCAATTTTTCATTAATTAAAAAATGAATAAATCCCAAATATGAACACCAAGATAGACAAACTCAGGGAAGAGAGGAACAGAAAACAGAAGGTGATGGCAGACCTCAGGACATAAACCAAGGGAAAAAATTACAGGCATACAAAGTATATTAGAAAGAGCACAAGGGAGATTTGACACTATTGAGACCACATTAAAGGACATAGAGGGTAGAAATAAGAAAAAAATAAAATAATGAGAAATAAAGTGATATGATAGACAAATAAGAGCTATAGTATTACAACTCTATATATGCTATAAAGCATAGCTTTATGCTAAAAAACATAGCTCACATATGCTTAATTGGAATTCCAAAGAAGAAAACCAAAAGAAAGCAACAGAATGAATATTTTCACTTAGAATTAAAGCATACTCAGGGCACACTAAGCAAGAGTTGGCCCAGAACCATCAACACTGAGTCACACCTAGGTAAGGTTGCTATCTTGAAATATGCAGCACAAATCCCTTTTGGAACCCTTTAAAGATGCAGAAAGGCACAAGGGTGAATAAACTCACTTTTAAAAGAAAGAAAATCAGGATGGCTTCAGACTTCTCCACAGAAACATTCAATACCAAAAGATAGCGAAGAACCAGCTACAGTGTACACAAGAAAAGAAAGTGAGTCAAATATTTTACATTCAGCCAAACCTTACTTTAAGTAAGAAGGGACATAATTTTTTTGTTTTGCTTTGATCTCATGTTTTAGAGAATTGGATTAATCAATCTGAGTTCTTTCTATACTCACATCAATGTTCAATGCCCCATCTTATTTTATGGGTGTGTGTATGCATGTGTATGTGTATATCTGTAATTATGTATTATGAATGTAGTTTGCCTATATGTTTCTACATTAGTATTTGGGTAGCATCTGTGTAATAATGTGTCCAGAATTGGTGGATTCTTGGTCTCGCTGACCTCAAGAGTGAAGCCGCAGACCCTCGCGGTGAGTGTTACAGTTCTTACAGATGGTGTGTCTGGGGTTTGTTTCTTCAGATGTTCAGATGTGTCCAGAGTTTCTTCCTTCCGGTGGGTTCATGACTTGCTGACTTCAGGAGTGAAGCTGCAGACTTTTGCAGTGAGTGTTACAATGCTTAAAGACAGTTCGTCTGGAGTTGCTCATTCCTTCCAGGGGGGTTTGTGGTCTCGCTGGCTTCAGGAGTGAAGCTGTAGACCACCTAGGTGAGTGTTACAGCTCACAGAGGAAGCACAGACCCAAAGAGCGAGCAACAGCAAAACGTATTGCAAGCAAAAGATCAAAGCTTCCACGGCATGGAAGGAAACCCAAAGGGTTACTGCTGTTGGCACGGCTGGCCTGCTTTTATTCCCTTAACTTGCCCCACCCACATCCTGCTGATTGGTCCATTTTACAGAGAGCCAATTGGTCCATTTTATAGAGAGCTGATTGGTCTGTTTTACAGAGAGCTGATTGGTCTGCTTTGACAGAGTGCTGATTGGTGCATTTACAAACCTTTAGCTGGACACAAGAGTGCTGATTAGTGCGTTTATAATCCTTTAGCTAGCACAGAGTGCTGATTGGTGCATTTATAATCCTTTAGCTAGACAGAAAAGTTCTCCAAGTCCCCACCAGTCCCAGAAGTCCAGCCGGCTTCACCTCTCACTGACACTTGCCGGACTTTGCGGCACCTAGCCCAGGCACTTTGGCAGCCCAGAGGGAGCTCCTCACAGACAAACAAGAGGAAAAGAGGGGAAGGGAGAAAGAGATGGAGACCCGCCATCGTGGCCAACGGCCCCGTGAAGAGGGAACAGTGGTCCACACATGGGGCCCAGCAGGCACCAGCAGGCTGTGCCCAGTGCGGGGTCCACCAAGCCCATAGCCCACCCGGAACCCCCCCCAGCCCACCAGCGCTGTGCGCAGCCTGGGCTCCCGCCCGCGCCTCTCTCTCCACACCTCCCAGTGAGCAGAGGGAGCCGGCTCCAGCCTGGGTCAGCCCCAGAGAGGGATCCCGACAGCGCAGCGGCGGGCTGAAGGGCTCCTCCAGCGCGGCCAGAGTGGACGCAGAAGCCGAGGAGGTGCCAAGAGCAAGGGAGGGCTGCTACCACGTTGTCACCTCTCAATAACATGATAAACTCATGGCCCCAACTACTAGAACCAGAATATTATACTAACATGCCTACCCACGGGCCCCTCCATCATGCCCTATCTCTCTGCCTCCCTACATCAGAGGTCAGCGCCAACCTCAATCATGTGTATGTGCATGTGTGTTCCTAAAATATATAGTTTTTAAAATTTGTTTTAACTTCTTGCAAAAGTTATTTTGCTACATAGGACCTTCTGAAACTTCAAATCTACTACTGCATCCATTACAAGAAACACAATTATTTTATATATCATCACAATAGTTAGAAACCACACCAGTTACTTGAGCAGAGAAATTTTATATAAAACACCAGTACTAGGTATAAGGTTGTTATCCACTGAAAGGGCAAAAAGAGAACTCTAAGGTATCATAGAAGAAGGAGCTATCATCCCCTATGGCTTAGAAAACAAAGGAAACTAAGGGATAAACTTAGAAAAGGGCCCCTGTGGGGCTGAAACTCAGATGTCTGAGGAGGCACTGCCCAATTGCTGCTGGTGCCTGACCCCAGAGGAGGGGCCTTCCTAAGGCTGGGACCCAGGCCTCTGAGGTGGAGTGTTACCACACTGGTTCTGTAAATAATGGAAGAATTACAAGCTGATTCAGCTGCTGCTGTGGGAATGAACTGCCACTGCTGCTGTGAAGAAAGATTGGCAGGGATGGAGGTCACAGGAACAGGAAGAGCAAATCCTTCTTCCTTCTCTAGCAAGGCAGTCTCCTCTGGCGCCCCCTATTGACGAAAGTCTTCATGGAGTCAGTTGGCAAAGCACACATCTGAATTTGCAGTCTCCTGCCTGCAGTCTCATGCGTTACATCAAACAGCCGATTATGGAAGGTGAATTTGGAGCTGAGAGGCAATCTCTTAATAAGTGGCACAACCAGTAATAAAGAAAAAAGTCCTTACAAGTCAGCTCAGAATTCTAAGATGCTATAAGAAAAACTGCACGTTAGAAGAGATGAAACATGGAACATTGCTGATTGGTTCATATTGTTGAGTTTAGCTGTAGATCATTCATTTTGATGCTATATAAAATTTCATTATGGGAGTATAGCTTAATTTATTCATTCTTTTGTTGAAAAGCTTTTAGATAATCTCCAGCTTTTGCCACTGTAACAATGTTGTTATGAATATTCTTGTTCATGTCTTCTGATAAATTTGTTAAGATTTTCTCTTGAATATAAATGTAGGCATGGAATTGCTGGCTAATAGGGTTTGTAAATGTTCAATATTAAAATATGTTACCAAACTATTTTCCACAGCGGCTGTACCAATTTACATGGCAACCTGCGATTGATAGATCCTATTGATGACATTCTCTCCAGGACATGGTATTACCAGATGGCTTTGAATATGTAAGAGCTCAGTGAAGCATTGCTCACAGGAAGGTGAGATCTAATGGAAAAGTTATTCATTTTGAAGAAACGACAAGAGGACACACTCCAGCCAATACATACATGACTGACTGGGAAAATTTTGGCAAAGGACTGGTGGCGAGAGGTCCAGTTTCATGTATCTGATTGCCTACATGACATCTTCCTTTGGATGTCTGACAAACGCATCACATACTTAGGGTGTTTTGATGGTGAAACCCCATCTCTACTAAAAATACAAAAATTAGCTGGGCGTGGTGGCGTGCACTTGTAGTCCCAGCTACTCGGGAGGTTGAGGCAGGAGAATCGCTTGAACCTGGGAGGCGGAGGTTGCAGTGAGCCAAGATCGTGCCACTGCACTCCAGCCTGGTGTCAGAGCGAGACTCTGTCTCAAAAATAAATAAATACATTAATTAATTTTAAAAAAAAGATGAACTCCTGAGAGTCTCACCAAACCTGTTCCTCTGGTTGTCTTCCCTATCTCAGTTAATGCCAATTTCATCTAGTTGCTAAGATGAAAATCCTTGAAGTCACCTTGCTTCTTTTTTTTATTATTATTATCCAAATTATCCGTAAGTAAAATCTTTTGGATTTACTTTCAAAATGAGTCACGAATCCAGTCACTTCTGATGAACTTCACAACACTGCCACACTGGTTCAAGCTACCATCATTCCCTCCTGGATTATGACAGCCTCTTAACTATTCTCCCTGATTCTGTCTTTGCCTCCCTTCAGTGTTTTTCTATGTCTTAGCAACTGCAAGGATCCTTTAAAAATGTAAGCCAGATCATATTACTCCTCTGCTCAAAATTCTCAAATGGATTCCTAACTTAGTACAAATGTGAATACACTTATAATCTTTTTTTTTTTTTTTTTTTTGAGACAGAGTCTTGCTCTGTCACCAGGCTGGGCTGCAGTGGCATGATCTCTGTTCACTGCAACCTCTGCCTCCCGGGTTCAAGTGATTCTCCTGCCTCAGCCTCCCAAGTACCTGGGACTACAGGTGCGCACCACCACGCTTGGCTAATTTTTGTATTTTTAGTAAAGACGGGGTTTCACCATATTGGCCAGGCCGGTCTCAAACTCCTGACCTCGTGATCCACCTACCTTGGCCTCCCAAAGTGCTGGGATTACAGGCGTGAGCCTCCGCGTCTGGCCATATAATCTTAAAATACATCTTTACAATCCTCTACAAGGTTCATGTAAGGTGGTACCCCATGAGCTTTCAACCTCACCTCCTACTACTTCGCTCCTTGCTGTTTTTCAAATGAGCCAGATATGATCCTGCTTAGGGCCTTTGCACTGGTTGTTCACCCTCCCTAAAATACTCTTTTCTCAGCTGTCTGCACAGTGCAGTCTCTCTTCAAGTCTTATTTAAATGTCATGTTCTCAATGGGTTTTTCTGCTTTCCCTGATTAAAATTACAAACCGCCTACTCGGCATTTGCTATTCTATGCTTTAGTGTTCTCCAGGGTATTTATTACCATCTAATACACAAGTAGCAGGTATCATTAAATATAAGAAACCATCAGTTACAAAAAACACTATAATTTTATGTCCTAGGAAATTAATTAAAAATTGGTGCCAATAAGACTTACATATTGCATTCTTATCACTTCAACATTATTTTATATTTATTGAAAGAGCTATTTTAGACAACATTGATTTTTATTATGTATCACTGTTGTGCAAACCCAACAGAAAAATATCAGCAGAACAAGTTGCTTAAATTGTTTAAGATATTACTAAAATTCCATCACATTTGGAATTCAGCTGTTTTAGATCATGGGACTGGTATTAATTGACTTGGGTGTTTTTCCACGTAGCCCCGTGCTTTGTGCCATCAAGAGCTTTGGTGATGGTGCATTTCTCAAGAGCACTCTACTGTTGTCTCCAGGATCTTCTCCCAAACTGCTGACTTCATTCTACAAGTTCTGATACACATGCTCAGGCAATAGCAACTATGTCCTACAGCTGACAGCCAGACTGACAACTGGCTAACAGCATCATAAGGCATGTATACATCTCTGAGATCTTAAAACGTGCAAATATGTGGATCTTAAAATAAATTAATCATAGCATTTGAGTTGCTTGTTTGTTGCCTGTCTCTCTAGATGAGCATGTAAGCTTGAAAATGGCAGGACTTTTGTTTGTTTTGTTTACTGCTATAATCTCAGCACCTAGCACAATACTTGGCACGTAGTTGTTAATTTCTTCTGCTATGCCAAGAATCATTAAATTAGAATAATGAATCATGCTTTCTGTTAGGTTCCACAAAACACCTGTGAGGTTGTGTTGAATGGATAGATGAATGAATGAATGAATGAATCCTCCCTACCCTGAACTATTCTTTCTTTTTAAAATTGTCAAAAACTTAGGACTTGTTCTTTAGACCACTGTGAGGCTCTTATTCTGAATTAGATATTTGCCATTCATGCTTTTTATAGTTGATAACAAGAGTAGGAAAATGGGTGGATTAAATACTATACTCTGAAATTGTACATCTTTAGTAATACTGTATCTGAGAACGCACTATTGCTTAAAAAGTGAATCAAAAACATTTATAAATAGAAACTGTCAATCGTCAGAGCTGGGAAAAAGATAAACATTGCTCAGATGAATAACTGGAAATTTTATTATGTCAGCATAAAAAAAAACCAAATTGACTTGGTGTAATGTCCGCTGATTTTGTTTTATTGTCAAACTGTCACCTACTCAAATGCCACATATTCTACAAACAGAATAGGGAGACAATTTTTATTAATTTGATTCATTTATTTAGAGATGAATTCTCACTATGTTACCCAGGCTGGACTCAAACTCCAGGGCTGAAGTGATCCCCCCAACTCACCTTCCCCAGTAGCTAGGACTACAGGCCTGTGCTACCATGCTAGGCCAGGAGACAAGTTCTAGCTTGGTTCCTTCATTTGCTGCCTTTAACATCTTGGTATATTTAATTAGCATTTGTTGGGAACCCACAGATACATGATGCATGCAAAATTACAGAAAAAAAGAAACAGAGAAGAGATAAGGACAGCATGCCTAGAGGGAAGATCATTTCAAATTCATTATTTAAGTCTAGATACTGAGACCAGCTCTTTCTGCACATTGTATATGGGAGCTAATCCAGTACATAGGAAACTTAAAATGTAAAAACTTACTTTTCTAGTGTAATCACACAAAACTTATAGTTATTATTTTCATTTTTAGCTAAATTAACATTTAAAAAGTTTTTTGGCAATTATATTATAGCTTTTAGCTGAATTTGCAGGGTTTGACTGAAATTTGGAACCACACATATTCTGTTGATTCCTATTGTATCAGTGAGCAGAGTTGAGATAAGAGAATAGGGATCTTCTACAGGAATCAAAGCAATTTGAGTGATGACTCTTTACTTTTCATCACTCTCAATATTTTTGTCATCTGAAATAGTTAATAATAACACAAACGAAAGCCTCTGGAAATTCTAGCATGCTCATCATGCATAAAACTCTTCTATAAATTTACTTTTCAGTGTATTGTCATTGTTATCTTCAAAAACAGTGAGGTGCATAAGGAATGGATGATGAAGTCAATTTCATATGTATGCCCTTTATGGATTTATCACTTTCATGGTTGTGCTCTGTAGCTACTGAGGAAAGTAATCAGAGAGACTCAGAAATCAACAAGTACTAACTACTTAAAGTGTGTGCCCAGCCTAGGGCTAAGTACTGAAGTGGAGGTGATTTGGGGAGAGGAATAAAGTTTGTATGTTTGTGTGTCTCTCTGTGTGTGTGTGTGTGTGTGTCTGTGTGTGTGTGTGTGTGTACACACATATATATCTCTATATATCTTTAAGCTGCTTTACCACTGAATTCCTAGCATCAATGCCTCCATATTCAATATGATAGGTAATTACATAGCATGCCTCATTTTAGAACCCAAAACATATGGAACTTTGGAATTTTTAAAGTTATTATTATTATTTATTTTAAAGATTTTCACATTTTTCCTCATATCCTAATAGCGTGTTCATTTTCACCATTGCATGTTTTTTACTTATACTTTCTCTTCTTTATGTTTCCTTGTTTTACTTTTAAAGTGCAAATAATCAGAATATATCAGATTAAGAAACTTTCCATCTCAAAAAGTCTAAGTCAGTATTTAATGAGTCTGGGATGGATAGCAAGACTGTTGTTAATACAAACTAATTTTTTAAAAAATAGTGGAGTAAGTTTGTCTTAGTCCATTTGGTACTGCTATAACAGAATCCTTGAGGCTAGGTGATTTATAGTGAACAGAAATGTATTGACTCACAGTTCTGAAGGCTGAGAAGTCTAAGATTGAGGTGCTGGCCTCTGGTGAGGGCCTTCTTGCTGCATCTTCCCATGATGGGAGGCATGACATGACAGAAGGGCAAAGAGACGGCAAGAGAGAGCAGAGAGCCAGCAAGAGGAAGCTAGACTTGTCCTTCTACAGGGAATCCACTTCTGTGATAACAGCATTAACTCAATCATGAGGGCAGTGCCCCCATAATCGAAATGCCTCTCAATTGGGTATCAAGTTTCCAATGCACAAGCATTAGGGTGCATATTCAAACCATAGCATTCTGCCTCTGGCCCCCCAAGTTTATATCCTTTTCACATACAAAATATAATCACCCCTTCCCAATAGCCCCAGAGTTTTAACTTGTTCCGGCACCAAGTTCAAAGTCCAGAGCCTCATCTAGATCAGATACAAGTGAGACTCAAGGTATGATTGATTTGTTTTGAGGTAAATTTCCCTCCAATTGCGAGCCTGTGAAATCAAACAAGTTATCTACTTCTAAAATGCAATGGTGGGACAGGACTAAGATGGACATTTCCATTCAAAAAGGGGAGAAATTGGCAAAAAGGAAAGAGTAACCGGTCCCAACTAAGTCCACAACCCAACAGGGTGAATCCTAAGGCTCCAGAATAATTTTCTTCGACTCTATATCCCTATTCCTGAGCACACTGTGGTGAGGGTTGGGTCCCCAAGGCCTCAGGTGGCCCCATCCCCTAGTTTTGCTTGCCTTAGGCCACATAGCAGCTCTCAAGGGTTGGAGTCTGGTGCCTGCAGCTCTCCCAGGCTGGTGTTGCATGCTGGTAGTTCTACAGTTCTGGAATTCTGGAGGCAGCCCTACCCCTGTGGTTCCACTAGGCATTGCTTTGGTGGGGACTCTCTGCAGTGGCTCTGCCCCGTGACAGGTTTCTGCCTAGGTCCCCTGTTGGATACATCCTTTGAAATCTAGGTGGAAGTAGCCATGCCTCCACAGCTTGCACACTCTGAGCACCTGCAGAAATAGCACCATGGGAACACCACCAACGTTTATGGCTTGCACCTTCTGGAGCAGTGGCATGACCTGCACCTGGGCTTGCTTGAATCATCGCTGTGGCAGCTGAGGGGCACTGTGAGGGAATGAAAGGAGCAGAGTTCTAAGGTGCCCCTGGGCAGGGAACCCATGGAAGACATCCTGGGCCCATCCCCATCCCGCCCCACACATACACACACACTCCAAATCATTCTGCCTTCTTAGAGCTCTGAGCCTGTGATGGGAAGGGCTGCCTTGAAGATCTCCAGCTTTCAGGTTATTCGCCTATTGTCTTGATAAATAGCACCTGGCTTCCTTCTAGCCACACAAATCCCTTTATCAAAGGGTCGCTTGGCTGCAACCTGGTGCTCACCCTTGCATGCTTTTTTGTTCTTTACATGGCAAAGCAGAACTTTTTGAAATCTTTATGTTCTGCTTCCCTTTTAAATATAAATTTTGTCTTTAAACCATTTCTCTTTTCTTTCTCTTTATTATATGCAGTTGAAAGAAACCATGCAGCTCCTTCAATATTTTACTTAGACATTTCTCCTACCAGATAGCCTTGTTCATGACTCTTAAATTCTGCCTTCCATAAAGCTCCAGGGAGTGGACACATTTCAGCTAAGTTCTTTGCCACTTTATAAGAAGGATAGCCTTTACTCCAGTTTCTAATACGATATTCCTCATTTCTGGCTGAGACCTCATTAGAATGGCCTTTAGTGTCCATATTTCTACCAACATTCTGATCATGACCACATAGGTGTTGTCTAAGAAGTTCCATACTTTTCCTACAGTTTTCGTCTGAGTCCTCACCAGAATTGCTCTGAACATTCCATTCAAAGCTTTTTACAGTTTGTCCTCCAGATTCTTCCAACCTCTATCCATCATCCAGTTCCAAAGCCACTTCTGTATTTTCAAGTATTTGTTATAGCAACATTGCACTTCTCTGGTACCAATATTCTGTTTCAGTCCATTTTGTGCTGTGGTAACAGGATACCTGAGACTGGGTAATTTATGGTAAACAGAAGTTTATTGGTTCAAGGTTCTGGTGGCTGGGAAGTCCCAGATCCAGGTGCTGGCATCTGCAAAAGTCTTCTTGTGTTATTGCATGGTAGAAGGACAAAGAGGGTGAAAGACAGCAAGGGGGAGCTGAATTATTCTTTTTATAAGGAACCCACTCCCACAATGAAGAACTCACTCCTATGATAATAGCATGAATCTATTCATGGGGTTGGTGCCCCCATGACTCCAATTAGCCCCCACCTCCCAACACCACAGCATTGAGAATCAACTTTCCTATATGTGAGCTTTGGGGAAAACATTTAAACCATAGTAAGGGTGAAAAAAAGAAACATTCAAAAGTATATTAGAAATTTGAGGGGAAATAGGTGTTGATGAACTCTGAAGGCTTATCAAAACTGTGTTAATGGCCTTTACAAGATCATGTTGTCTCATAAATATACTTTTTGTAATAGACAAGAGTGTACCTAACAAGATTTTAGACGCCCATCTAAAGTTTTACAGATTAACAAGAAATATGTGCCAATAAAAATACTTTATGAAGATTCTGGGGACAAGAAAGCCACCTTCCTCTGCTCTGGGTTGGTAATTGAATCTGAAGGTGGCTGCTGGAGGTTGACAGTGAAGGGCTGATGGTCCCTTCCCTACAACTTACCATGTGCACAGGAAAGGACAAAATTTCGTACTGGCCAAACTTGCATCCATACTTTCATTTTGCACATTCTTCCTTAATAAATGAATCTCTATGTCTAGGAATATATATTCACTGCTATAATTTTCAAAAGAGAGAATTAAATAAAAGTACATTCATACTAACATCTTCCCTTATGACTTGATTTTTTTTTGTTTAGTAACCAAATATTATAAAATTCAAAACTTAAAGTCTGCTATAATAGTGTCATGGAGTTAAATACTTTCCTTTGGGATCACATTTAGAATCTTACAAAGGCATGTAGTAGGAAAGTAGAATTGCAGTAAATCAATAGAAGTGCAATAAAGTAGTAGAATTGCAATAAAGAGATGTGCAAATAAATATTTACACTTTGTAGCATTTTTCTCATCTATTCAGTCATTAAGGTATGTGAGGATATGGAATCTAATTGAAAGTACAATCCGTTATTCTAATTTAGTAGTTCTGTGCATGGCAGAATAAAATTAACAGTGTCACCAAAGAGCTAAAATGAAGTGACGGCTCAACAAAAGACCTGGAGAGTCAAAAGCCTGAGTTATTATGTCACATGAACAATCATGTCCTTGTGTGGACACCCACATCCTATTTTAATCCCAGACGTTTCTGAAAATTAGGTTTCAAGTTGAATATAAACATACGATGTTGAGACGTTGAAAGTAGAAAGAAGAGAAAGGCATGTCCAGTCGTATCAATACTCTTGAATGATTTGGAGTGGGGCCGTTTTGCAGTAATGCCAGTCCTCTGTGCACATTCAACCAATCTATTGAGGAACTGTCTTTGCTCTGCATTTGTAAACTTTTGCAGTTACCAAAGCCAATCACTTATGGAAATAGAGTTGACCCAGTGAGTAAATAACAAGCACATTGAAAAAGATTACCTCGAGATAATGCCTAAAAATGTTTAAAAGAGAATCACCCATGGTTCTAAGTAGGGCTTTATGGCCACATAAATATAACCTATAAATTCAGTCATGCCTTCTCACTAGTAGGAAGTTTCATATATTAAAAACATAAGTGGCTTAATAAACAAAAAGGGGGAGGTAGTCACTGAGACCAAATCATAACAGACATAAACCTGAGTATAAGTTACTGAGTTCATGCTATAGCTATTCTTAAGCATAATAGTTTAAAAATATTCAAGTTACACCACTTAAGAAAAATTTACTTATCATAGGACTTTTCATTTTCAACCTCGCATAGAATTTTGCAAGAGAAGAAATCTTGGAGATTATCTATATCACCTATTTCCTCCTCACATCTGGTGCTAATTTTTCCTCTCCAGTCCTGCATGGGCAATATCTACCCTTCTATTAACAGCTCAGGGGTTGTATGTCTTTATATTACAGAATGTAAGAGAAGTATTGTGACTCTAATTAAGAAGGGTGATACAAGTTCAAGCAGTGCAAGCTATCGATTCTGTAGTTCTCAAATAAATAGAATGAAAGGTAACACGCGTATCTCACTTATTGAAATGAAAATCACACTAGTCATATATAGACTGCATAATTTATCGTTTTTCTGTTGATTTTCTGTTTCTAATGATCTTTGTGACACTTCCCTCTTTCAAAACAAAATGATCTGATTCACTATATGTTTCTAATGTTGATACCTTCATATTGCCCATAAATTACTACATTTCCACAAATTACTGAAGAAAATATTGAATCTTTCAGAATTTTGTAAGATATTTTAAACAATGGCATGGCTCATTAACACTGAATAGAAACCCTTAAAGCAGGTCATTTCTAAAACAAACAAAAAAAAAGTATAAACAGCAGTGATAAGCACAGAAAAATGCCAGAACTCATTTTGGGCTTCTGTTTAAAGAGACATACTCCAGGAAATAGGGGTGGAATAGGGAGGTTTTCCTAAATGTAGGTTCTAGGAAGCAGATTCTCATGGGCTGATGAATGCACCAGCCCCCACTATGATTCCTGCAGTACAGAAATTGTAATTTAAAAAAAATCAGGTTGTAAGAACTGTTTTCCAGTTTCTATTCCCACTCCTTCCCTGAGACCACAGCTCAGCAGCAATTGAAACACTAACGGGAGCAGTAGCTCTGATCCAAGAGAACAAACACATTTCTGAACTAGGGCAGATTGGTTCTCTGCATTCTGTATACACTGATAATGAGTGAAATAGAATGAACTTTGGAATCTTTCTCCACCACACACTAGTAGCACGATTTTATGTAAGTACCTTGACTTCCTGAAGCCTCTGTAAAATGGGAATAATAATGCTTAGCTTACACAATGGATGTCAGAAATTGAGCAGATGTGACACAATGTCTAACAAAGTGCTTCTCAGATAGTAGATGTTCAAAGACTATACTCTCAGAGATCATTTCTATAGCTTATTAAATAGTAGGTGTTCAATAGATTCCAGGTGCCATTCTTAAATTGTCAGATAGGCCAGTCTTTTGCAATGAGCAGTGTGCCCAACTGAAAGTGAATGGTATGATCTTGTTCTCTTTTTTAAAAATTTTACATTATTTATTTTATTATTTTTATTTTTTTAACTTTTAGGTTCAGGAGTACATGTGTAGGTTTGTTATATTGGTAAATTGTGTGTCGCAGGGGTTTGGTGTATAAGTTATTTCATTGCCCAGGTAATAAGCACAGTAGCCAACAGATAGTTTTTTGGTCCTCACCCTCTTCCCACCCCCAACTCTTAAGTAGGCCCTGGTGTTTGCTATTCCCTTCTTTATGTCCATATGTACTCAATGTTTAGCTCCACACTTATAAGTGAGAGCATGTGGTATTTGGTCTTCTATTCCTGGGTTAGTTTGCTTAGGATAATGGCCTTCAGCTCCATCCATGTTGCTGCAAAGGTCATGATCTTATTCTTTTTTATGGCTGCATAGTATTCCATGGTGTATATGTACCACATTTTCTTTAAGCTTGGAGGGCATCACAAATTGCTTCTCAACACTATGAAAGGAGAAAATGCTTCTATCTTATCACAAATTGGGTTAATGAACATAGAATAAAAGTGCATATAGGGCCACTGTTTAGGAGCAAAGTACCAGTTTGTTCTTTGTATCAGTTAGCTTTCCTGATTTCAAGCAACAGAAATAAACTCTGGCTAATGCACTAAGAAAGGGAATTTATTAGAAAGATTTCAGATTGCTCACAGAACTGAAAGGAAGGTGGGAAACTGGGTTGGCAAATAAAAGAAATAAGAGAGCTAGACAGCAGGAACCAGCACTGAAACTGTGTCATCGGGTGTCCCTGGCAGCACCACCTTCCTAGCTACCACCAAACACCATTGCCACCGGGCAGTGGATGCTGCCCTGCTTTGCATACTGCCTTCTCTGGATTCTGCAGCTTGGTTCCTGATGCTGCTGCCGTGAATAATTTCTAACTCTTGAATTTTTGATACATTCCCTTTGGATTTAGATATCTGGGTTGTCAAAATGGCAAATGTCAACTACATCTTCTCGGTGGCTTTCTTGGCAATAATTAGCCAAGTGTTGAAATACCAGTTTTAAATAGGCCTCTCCGAATAAGGAGAAAACGGCAGTTATTACTGTCTCCTCTAGAAAGGGAAGGTCACCTATTTAAATAATCAGCTCTCTCAGACTTCTCCAACTAGAAAGGCCATTTCTATTTCCAGGCATGATCCCTAGATTTTTGGAGAATCCCCTTATTACCTGAGTAAAGTCATTCTCAAATTAGGTGGCAGTGCACCTGGATGTCAACTCCTGAATAGATAAGAAGTTTCGGGGTAGGCACAATGTCTGCTTAGTTCAAAAACAGTACTAACATAGTACTAAGCAAAGAGCAGAGACCCAATAAATATTTGCTGAATAATATACTAGATTTGAAATACAACACGCAATTTTGCATTAGATAGTACTGTAAAAGGTACATTAAACGAACGCAATGCATAAGATGCATTCAAAATGCAATTTCAATTTTAGCTTCCGATGTCCTTTTAACGTGTATTTACAAGATATTTTTCCCTTTCCATTGGATAAAATCTCTGGCAAGCTCATTGACTGTCCTGATCACTATTAAATAGTAGTAAATCCCTTTAAGTTACAAAACATAATCTTGTTTTAGAAATTAGAACATCTCCTCCAATGTACTAATCTGTACTTCAGCCTTTATTTAAAGGTAAGACATCTCACCTCACCAAGGCCTGTCCTGCAGCAGTCAATCAAAGAATACCTGCCAGTGAGGAGAGACATTTGGGTGGGATCATGAAAGAGCAGCAAGGGAAATAGCGCCACCTTTTGTTGCGGCTGTTTTAAGCTATCTCTTTTGTGCGTAGAAAGCTTGGGTAAAAAAGGAGACTCGTACCTTTTTTAGGTGTGGGCACACCTGAATGTGTGTAAGTACTGTGTTCATTTAACTTCTTCTGCCTTCAGAAATGATTTACAGCCTTTTAATTATGAAGGCTTTTAAGGGTCAACCACAGACCAATAAAAAGGCTGGCCAACTGGGGACTGGCCTATGGCACCTATCCCTAACAACTCTAAAACCTTGGGGACTTTTTTTTTTCCTCCCCCTTCACTTTGGAAATATGCTGCTAGTTAATTTAGGCTTTTTCAAATACAACTCTTATTTAACTCGTGAAATAAAAATTTTCCCTGCTTCTACAACTAGAAAATGCCCTCAAGTAGAAATGAACACATCTTGCTGGCATACTTCAGTGTTGAATATGGAAAGAATCGACTCAAAATGAGCAAAAGGAAAACAAGTTTCTAAGTTGGTTTCCATTAGCTTAATGGTCTCTACTGCAGAAAGGGTTTCAGGTTTCTCATATGATTCCAGGAGGGTTGGTATATGAACTGCAGAAATACCTACATCTATGAAAATAACAGAGGAACCTTGGTACTGAATTAGGTGCTTATTCCCTATATTTTATGAAAATATATATTTTACACATAAAATATTTACCACTGATTTATTAGGTGTGATCATTGATAATTCCTGTAAAACAAGAACTTCTCCAGTTCAAAGACTTTCAGCAAGAATCACTACCACATAAAGTCCAACAAATAGAAATGGAGAGTATTTTCTCATCTACTTTCAGAATACAAGCTCTTTGCAAAAACCGGTAAGGTGACTTTGGTTCATCTGTGGTTGAGATGCTTAGTTGGGTGATCCAACTGATTCACTCTCCCTCAGGAAGACTCATGCCAACCCTTACCCTTTACCTTTATTTAAAATAGAAAAATGATGCGAATAAGAATATTGTCAATAAGCATGTTGAACATTTACAGGTCATGCAAAGTTAACCTAAGGAAATAAAAAGAAGAATCAAAATAATAATTACATATTTTTAAAAAGTTGGCACCTAACAATTTTAAAAACAGCATTTAGGTACCAATAAGTTTATAAATTCAGCCACACTGCTTGCAAATATAACACATCTGGAAATTCCTGTGGCTGGCCTGCCAATGCACACACCTTCTGTAATGCCCTGCTCTGATCCTCACTGAGCAGTGCCACCAGCAGCTGGTGGCAAGGCACATCCTAACTTTGCATAGCTGTCAGGTTTTGAGGGGTGTCTTGGAGGGATGAGGAATAAATAAGAGAATCTAGTGACAATTTTTTTTTTTTTTTTGAGACGGAGTCTCACTCTGTCGCCCAGGCCGGAGTGCAATGGCGCGATCTCGCCTCACTGCAAGCTCCGCCTCCTGGGTTCAGGCCATTCTCCTGCCTCAGTCTTCCAAGTAGCTGGGACTACAGGCGCTTGCCACCACACCTGGCTAATTTTTTGTAGTTTTAGTAGGGACGGGGTTTCACCATGTTAGCCAGGATGATCTAGATCTCCTGACCTCGTGATCCACCCGCCTCGGCCTCCCAAAGTGTTGGGATTACAGGCTTGAGCCACTGTGCCCGGCCTCTAGTGACAATTCTTAGAGGATAATGAATGATGTAATCACATCACAATGAAAATGGCTCAGGCAGTAAGATACAAAAATACAGCACCATTACAAACACGAGGCAGTGACACTCTTTCAGAGACATATTTCTGTGTACTCCTTTCAAAACATCAAGCTGTACACTTTAAATATATACCACAAGTTTTAAAATTAAACAATAATAAAAATATTTTTTTAGAAAAGGAAAAGAATTCTTAGTATAGCATTGTATGTTAATGCCAAATGAGTGATTGAATATATACTATAGGAGTTGAAAACCAAGAGAAATTTGTAGATGCTTAGATGATAAGGGCAAGATTAGGGAACAAGTGAGGCTTAATGGTGCCTTTGAAGGACAAACAGAAATTAAAGACAGAGAACAAAAGGAAGGACATTTCAGAACATGGGAAAATACAAGATTAAATATGGATATGGAATATCTGTATTTCAGGGTAGTAGATTCCAAACTTTGAAATCACCAAGGAAGATTTTAAGTCTTGGGTGAGGGCTGAAAATATGCAGATTAAAAATATACTTCAGGTACTTGCTTATTAACTCTGCAGGATAGCAAAGGAAATTTAAGACATTACAAATCTCTGGTTTGCCTAGTTCATTGACTCCTGGTCCCTCACTGTGTACTTAACTTTCTGCTGTTTCATTAACTATGGGTTCTTCCTAAATCAAGATTTTGGGAAGCACCTGTTATCTCTTATTCCCATTCTCTGATGAAAGTCTTAGACTAACTGTAGCATCACCAATGACTCCTCCACCAGCAACTCTTGAAATCAGTTCCTTTAAGTCAAACTTTCCTCTAAGTCTAATGAACTTTTCTGTTTGGGTGATTCACCCTAAATTCAGAACACCCTAAACCCAGATTTAACATTTTATCTAAAAAATGCTCTGTCTCCCCATTTCCATCACCAGTTCTATCATGCTCCCAATGAGTCTAAAATTTTGGCATCTTTGACAATGTCCTCTCTACCATCATTCATCTTGATTTTTAAAATGTCTTTTTTCTATATGCTTCTTTCCAGCCAATGTCACTCCAACACCAGGACAGGCCAATAGCTTGTCCCAAAATTAATAAAGGAGTCTTCTGATGCTCGGCTCCAGAGTCTATCTCCCTGTAGCTGTTCTGGCATGGAATTGCCTGATTGCATTCCTTGTGACACACTCAAGTCCCTGAGGTCATCACCCTTAAGAGAAAACAAAAAACAAAAACACTCAACAATATTCTTTTGGATGTGGCATAAAGATTACCTTAGTCCAGAAGCCCCAGATAACTTATCCAAGCCAACTGTGTTTTATTCTTTTATAAGAATCCATCTTTGGCTTATTCCCTAATAAGCACCTGAAGTATATTTTTAAAATGCACATTTTCAGGCCTCATCCAAGACCTAAAAGCTTGCTAGGTGATTCCAAAACTTGGAATCTACAACCCTGAAATATGCATATTCCATATCTATATTTAATCTTGTATTTTCCCATGTTTTGAAATATTCTTCCTTTTGTTCTCTCTCTTTAATTTCTGTCTGTCCTTCAAAGACTCCATTAAGCATTGCTTGTTCCCTAATCTTGCCCTAATCATCTAGTCATCTACAAATTTCTCATGACTTTCAACTACTGTAGTATGTATTTGATCACTCATTTGGCACTTTCATACATCACCATACTAAATTTTCTTTTCCTTCTTTAAAAAAATGTTTTTTATTATTGTTTAACTTTAAAACTTGTGGTATATATTTAAGGTGTACAACATGATGTTTTGATATATGCAGCATCCCTGACTTACGATGATTCAGCTTATGATTTTTTGACTTAGGATGATCTGAAAGCAATACATAGCATGTCCCTTGATTTATAATTGGGCTAGGTCTGGATAAACTCATCATACATTGAAAATGTCATAAGTAGAAAATGCACTTTTGACTTATAATATTTTCAATGTATGATGAGTTTGTCTGGGCATAGCCCCCATTCTAAGGTGAGGAGCATCTGTGCTTACGCACAGCGAAATGGTTACTACAGTCAAGCGAATTAACATATCTATCATTTTGCACAGTTACCCCCTCCCTTTTTTGTGGTAGGAGCACCTGAAATCTATTTTCAGCAACTTTTCAATATACAATTCTATAACTACAGTCCTGATGCTGTATCTTAGATTACTACTCTTATTCATCCTACTTATCTGCAACTTTGTACCCTTCAATGTATTGTACATCTTCCCATTGCCTTCCCCTTCTTTTCATAAAGTTCTTCCTCCTCCTCCTTTTTCTCCCTCTTTTTTCCCCCTTCCTCTTTGTCTTTGATAAACAAATATATGATACAATTGAGGATTTCTGTAAAACCACTTGCTTTATTTCTGACATGTATCTTTCCTTGGGTCTTCAGCTACTGCTTTAGTACTGGCATTAGGCTCTCTATTTTTTATCTCCCATAGTATACTGCACAGAGTAGGTGCTCAACAAATATTTGCTGAAATATTTAATAATGAGTGAAATAGGCTTGTGAGATATAATTGACAGTAGAAAAGGAAGCCTCTAACATGAAAGTCACTGACTAAAACAGACAGAAGGATCGTAGAGGAAACAGACAGTTAAGAGAAGGGAAAAAAAGCTTAAAATATCATTTACATCCTCAGTGAAATAGAAATAGACGTTGCATCTATAAAAGAAGAGAAGATAACATACAGAGATCATAAAAGAACCAAGAAAACCTTAGACATTGAAAATATACTAGCAAAAATAAAACACTCAATATAATGACTAGAACATAAATTTGAGGAAAATCTCCCAGAAATGACAACAGCATGAAGATTAAGAGATGGAAAATAGTAGAAAAAATATAGAAAAGTAGAGCTTCTGTTCAGGAGGACTACCATTAGAGTAATAAGAATTCTATAAAGAAAGAATAAGCAGAAGAAAAGTGAAAGAAATCCAGAAAATTCTGGAAAAAAATATGCAATACTGGAGAAGATGGAACTTCTATATGAAAATGCCTACTGAAAATTCATACAATGGATGAAAAAGACTCATATCAGGTTATATTATTAGGAACTTTCAGAACTGTGAGGACAAATAGAAGATTCTAAAAGCTTCCAGAGGGGAGAAATTAAAGATCACATATACACATAAAGGCTCAAGAATAAGCAATCCTAGAAACTAGAAGATAGTGGAGTTCTGAATTCCAGAGGAAAAAAATATTGATTTCCCATATAGAAGTTTTATGTAGCCCATATAGCATTTGAGTGTGAGGGTAGATAAAAAGACATTCTTCAACACCAACGATCTCAGAATACATACCTTTCATTCGTCGTTTTCCACTAAGCCTCTGAAGGATGTACTCCACCAAAATAAGGGAGTAAAGCAAGAAACAAAATACAAAGACTCCAGAACAGAAAGTATCTAACACAAGTAAAATGCAAAGGGAATCTCAAAGATGAGGGCAAAGGCAGCTGAGGCCATTATCCTAAGCGAATTAACACAGAAACAGAAAACCAAATACCACATGTTCTCACTTATAACTGGGAGCTAAACATTGGGTACTAATGGACATAAAGAAGGCAACAGTAGACACTGGAGACTACTAGGGAGGGAGCAGGGAGGGAGAGCAAGGGATGAAAAACTACCTGTTGGGATTATGCTCACTACCTGGGTGGACAGGATCAATAGTACCCCAAAAGTCAGCATCACAGAATATTCTTTTGTAATAAACCTACACATGTACTCCCAATTTTTTGTTGTTGTTGTTGAGACTGAGTCTCGCTCTGTCGCCCAGGCTGGAGTGCAGTGGCGCGATCTCGGCTCACTGCAAGCTCCGCCTCCCGGTTCATGCCATTCTCCTGCCTCAGCCTCTCGAGTAGCTGAGACAACAGGCGCCCACCACCACGCCCGGCTAATTTTTTGTATTTTTAGTAGAGACGGGGTTTCACCGTGTTAGCCAGGATGGTCTTGATCTCCTGACCTTGTGATCCGCCCGCCTCCGCCTCCCAAAGTGCTGGGATTACAGGCATGAGCCACCGCGCCCCGTCCATGTACCCCCAATTCTAAAATAAAAGTTGAAAAACAAAAAAAAAAGAATGCTGGAGAAAAAAAGATGATGGCAAAGGGAGATTTCAGGATCCAAGGATGACTTCTGTACAGCAGGCTTGGTGAGCACCCAAGAAAGATGACAGCCAGGGAACAGAAGGCTCTGGGAACAATCTATCCCAGATAAAACTAGTGGAATGCTTAAGGAAATGTAACCACAGCATGCTGCATGACTCAGCTATGTACTGAATATATGTAGACACAATATAAGGATCAAACAGAGGATGAGAGAAAGGTAGCGCCAATGTGTGTATGTTGGGGAGGGGAGAGAAGCATGTTATTTAGAAATATAAAGGTCAATGTCAAAGAGCTAGCTGAAAGAGTTGAATGTGGTTGCCATTCATGAACTTTCAGCTAGTGTTCTTCCACACAACTGAGACTTCTTAGTTGCAAGAGAGGAAAAAAGTATGTAGGGTTGGGGAAAAAGTTATTTTTCATAATAAGCATTAAGATTTACCTTTTAAAACTAAAAATAGATTTAACCTTGATTTTAAAATAATAACCCAGTGATGGCAAGGTGTGAGGAAATGGCCACATGCTGTTATTGAGAATAATATTGATAACATTGACGATGTTTATGGTAATAGCCGCAGGAACTAATATTTACATATCTTTCACTACATGCCAGGCACTAATCTAAATATTTTTAAATTTACTAACTTATTTAATCTTTACATCAACTTTATGGAATAAGACGATTTCTTAATCTCTACAGATGAAGAAAATGAGGCAAAAAAGAAAAAAATACATTTTTGGTGAGGTCATACAGCTAGTAAGCAGCAGTGCCATGATTTGAATATGTACTGATTCAGCACATTTTTGGAGCATTTGGGCACTATGTACTATCATTAAAACTAGCAAGCATTTGAGTCAGTAATCACATTTCAACAATTCAGGTTCAAAAATAACATAAGTGTATAAAGATTATATACATATATCCATATATTCACTTATCTTCCCTTGGTCAGAAAACCATATAGGTGATTTTATGCCATGACCTTCTCAGGGTATCACATTTAATAAGAGGTACATGATGTCTATCTTTCCCGTATTGGTGATGTAAACCTGATCATCCATCAAGCTGTCTGCTGGATATCTCCAATATAGAATTACTTTTTTCCTTTTCTTGCAATTAACAAGAAGTCTATGGAGAGACACTTTAAGATTATGCAAATATTCCACTCATTATAACAAATTTCCATAGGTTTAACATCCATTTGTAACCCTTGTCTGATCCAAGCTTTACTATGATGGTTGCAGAGTAATGATTTTCCAACTCTAGCACTATCGCCATATTTACTATTGACATATGGCAGTCTATTGTGAGCAAGAATACCTCCTTCTACTCCTCCTCCCTTCTTCTGTTCCTCCTTCCCCTAGTCCTTTCTCTTTCTGTCTCTCATTCTATCATCAGTATGGACTCATAAATTCTTATTTTTTCAATAGTTTTAATATATCACTATGCCTAATTATTTTGGTGTTCAAATTATTTGGTGTTCCAAATTTGGACACTGAAAGCCCCTTCAAGCTAGATCCTTTATTCTTGTGACATCTCCCATCAATTTATCGAACATTTATCTACTTTCTGGCATAACAAAATGTTCCAGGTCCATTTTATACCTACCTTTCCCCAGCCTGGAATCAGCCACTTCTACAGGGAGCTTTGGGAGGGATTAGAGTTAGAGATCAAAGTCTGAGAAAAACAGTGTTGAATTGAATGATTATGAAAATTTCTAAGAAAATAATTCCAATAGAGGACTTGGAATGAGAGTCAAATTTTATAGCAATAAATAATGAACAGATGGTGATTCTAAAGTGAGTGGTAGCAGGTGATTTTTCCCAAGTAACTCATAAAGGCAGCAAGGACAACCAGTTCCAAGGAGAAAAATTTATTGGAAAGGGATTCTCCAAGAAAGCTTTATGGAGAAACAATTTAAGCTAAGCCCACAGAATTGGAAGGGCTTAGAACAATGACTCCTGAGCAATGAACATGGTTTTAGGTATCACGTTCTCAGGCCCCTCACAGGGTTCATTCTAGTTTTTTCCATTCCCACATCTGAAACTCCAACAATGAAGAGGTATAGTCGCTGTTGTCAAGGTGTAGTGTTTGATACAAATCCAAGCAATTATTTCACATATTCTTAGCTACAGGTATGACAGTTTGCTTGTTTTGCACATTTATCTTGCCAACTCAAAGGAGGAAGGTCAAAATAAAGTCAATTTATCTTCCCTGTCTAATCCCACGCACATGAACAACAATAGTCCACTACTCCAACTTTGAAGTAAAAAATAGACTATTTCAGTTAATTGTCCTGACAACTGACATTTCCTCTTGAAGGCAAGAAACCTCACATATATTTGAAAATTATTCTTTTTCTTGTCCAAGATGGCTGAATAGAAACAGCTCCAGTCTACAGCTCCCAGCATGAGCGACACAGAAGAAGGTTGATTTCTGCATTTCCAACTGAGGTACCAGGTTCATGTCACTGGGGATTGTCAGACAGTGGGTGCAGTGCACCGAGCGTGAGCCGAAGCAGGGAGAGGCATTGCCTCACCCAGGAAGTGCAAGGGGTCAGGGAATTCCCTTTCCTAGCCAAGAGAAGGGGGGACAAATGGCACCTGGAAAATCGGGTCACTCCCACCCTAATACTGTGCTTTTCTGATGGTCTTAGCAAACGGCACACCAGGAGATTATATCCCACACATGGCTAGGAGGGTCCTCCACCCACGAAGCCTTGCTCATTGCTAGCACAGCAGTCTGAGATCAAACTGCAATGCAGCAGCGAGGCTGGGGAAGGGGCACCCCCATTGCTGAGGCTTGAGTAGGTAAACAAAGTGGCCGGGAAACTCGAACTGGGTGGAGCCCACCGCAGCTCAAGGAGGCCTCCCTGCCTCTGTAGACTCCACCTCTGGGGGCAGGGCATAGCCAAACAGAAGGCAGCAGAAACCTCTGCAGACTTAACTGTCCCTGTCTGACAGCTTGGAAGAGAGTAGTGGTTCTCCCAGCATGGAGCTTGAGATCTGAGAACGGACAGACTGCCTCCTCAAGTGGGTCCCTGACCCCCGAGTAGCCTAACTGGGAGGCAGCCCCCAGTAGGGGCAGACTGACACCTCTCACAGCTGGGTACCCCTCTGAGATGAAACTTCCAGAGGAACGATCAGGCAGCAACATTTGCTGTTCACCAATATTCACTGTTCTGCAGCCTCCACTGCTGATACCCAGGCAAAGAGGGGCTGGGGTGGACCTCCAGCAAACTCCAACAGACCTGCAGCTGGGGGTCCTGACTGTTAGAAGGAAAACTAACAAACAGAAAGGACATCCACACCAAAATCTCATCTGTACGTCACCATCATCAAAGACCAAAGGTAGATAAAACCACAAAGATGGGGAAAAAACAGAGCAGAAAAACTGAAAATTCTAAAAATCAGAGTGCCTCTCCTCCTCCAAAGGAATGCAGCTCCTCACCAGCAAAGGAACAAAGCTGGACGGAGCATGACGTTGACAAGTTGAGAAAAGAAGGCTACAGACGATCAAACTTCTCTGAGCTAAAGGAGGAAGTTCGAACCCAACGCAAAGAAGTTAAAAACCTTGAAAAAAGATTAGATGAATGGCTAACTAGAATAATCAATGCAGAGTAGTCCTTAAAGGACTTGATGGAGCTGAAAACCATGGCACGAGAACTACATGACGAATGCACAACCTTCAGTAGCCAATTCGATCGACTGGAAGAAAGGGTATCAGTGATGGAAGATCAAATGAATGAAATGAAGTGAGAAGACAAGTTCAGAGAAAAAAGAATAAAAAGAAACTAACAAAGCCTCCAAGAAATATGGGACTATGTGAAAAGACCAAATCTACATCTGATTGGTGTACCTGAAAGTGATAGGGAGCATGGAACCAAGTTAGAAAACACTCTGCAGGATATTATCCAGGAGAACGTCCCCAACGTAGCAAGGCAGGCTGATATCCAAATTCAGGAAATACAGAGAATGCCACACAGATACTCCTTGAGAAGAGCAACTCCAAGACACATAATTGTCAGATTCACCAAAGTAGAAATGAAGGAAAAACTGTTAAGGGCAGCCAGAGAGAAAGGTCGGGTTACCCACAAAGGGAAGCCCATCAGACTAACAGATGATCTCTCGGCAGAAACTCTACAAGCAAGAAGAGACTGGGGATCAATATTCAACATTCTTAAAGGAAAGAATTTTCAACCCAGAATTTCATATCCAGCCAAACTAAGCTTCATAAGTGAAGGAGAAATAAAATACTTTACAGACAAGCAAATGCTGAGAGATTCTGTCACCACCAGGACTGCCCTACAAGAGCTCCTGAAGGAAGCACTAAACATGGAAAGGAACAACTGGTACCAGCCACTGCAAAAACATGCCAAATTATAAAGACCATCGATGCTAGGAAGAAACTGTATCAACTAATGAGCAAAATAACCAGCTAACATCTTAATGACAGGATCAAATTCACACATAACAATATTAACCTTAAATGTGAGTGGGCTAAATGCTCCAATTAAAAGACACAGACTGGCAAATTGGATAAAGAGTCAAGATCCATCAGTGTGCTGTATTCAGGAGACCCATCTCACATGCAGAGACACACATTGGCTCAAAATAAAGAGATGGAGGAAGATCTACCAAGCAAATGGAAAACAAAAAGAGGCAGGGGTTGCAATCCTAGTCTCTGATAAAACAGACTAAACCAATAAAGATCAAAAGAGACAAAGAAGGCCATTACATAATGATAAAGGGATCAATTCAACAAGAAGAGCTAACTGTCTTAAATATATATGCACCCAATACAGGAGCACCCAGATTCATAAAGCAAGTCCTTAGAGACCTACAAAGAGACTTAGACTCCCACACAATAATAATGGGAGACTTTAACACCCCACTGTCAACATTAGACAGATCAACGAGACAGAAAGTTAACAAGGATATCCAGGAATTGAACTCAGCTCTGCACCAAGCAGACCTAATAGACATCTACAGAACTCTCCACCCCAAATCAACAGAATATACATTCTTCTCAGCACCACACTGCACTTACTCCAAATTTGACCACATAGTTGGAAGTAAAGCACTCCTCAGCAAACATTAAAGGGCAGAAATTATAACAAACTGTCTCTCAGACCACGGTGCAATCAAACTAGAACTCAGGATTAAGAAACTCACTCAAAACCACTCAACTACATGGAAACTGAACGACCTGCTCCTGAATGACTACTGGGTAAATAATGAAATGAAGGCAGAAATAAAGATGTTCTTTGAAACCAACGAGAACAAAGACACAACATACCAGAATCTCTGGGACACATTCAAAGCAGTGTGTAGAGGGAAATTTATAGCACTAAATGCCCACAAGAGAAAGCAGGAAAGATCCAAAATTGACACCCTAACATCACAATTAAAAGAACTAGAAAAGCCAGAGCAAATACATTCAAAAGCTAGCAGAAGGCAAGAAATAACTAAGATCAGAGCAGAGCTGAAGGAGATAGAGACACAAAAAAACCCTTCAAAAAATCAATGAATCCAGGAGCTGGTTTTCTGAAAAGATCAACAAAATTGATAGACCACTAGCAAGACTAATAAAGAACAAAAGAGAGAAGAATCAAATAGGCTCAATAAAAAATGATAAAGGGGATATTACCACTGATCCCACAGAAATACAAACTACCATCAGAGAATACTATAAACACCTCTACGCAAATAAACTAGAAAATCTAGAAGAAATGGATAAATTCCTTGACACGTACACCCTCCCAAGACTAAACCAGGAAGAAGCTGAATCTCTGAATAGACCAATAACAGGCTCTGAAATTGAGGCAATAATTAATAGCTTACCAACCAAAAACAGTCCAGGACCAGATGGATTCACAGCCGAATTCTACCAGAGATACAAGGAGGAGCTGGTACCATTCCTTCTGAAACTATTCCAATCAATAGAAAAAGAGGGAATCCTCCCTAACTCATTTTATGAGGCCAGCATCATCCTGATACCAAAGCCTGAGAGAGACACAACAGAAAAAGAGAATTTTAGACCAATATCCCTGATGAACATCGATGCAAAAATCCTCAATAAAATACTGGCAAACCGAATCCAGCAGCACATCAAAAAGCTTATCCACCATGATCAAGTGGGCTTCATCCCTGAGATGCAAGGCTGGTTCAACATATGCAAATCAATAAACGTAATCCAGCATATAAACAGAACCAACAACAAAAACCACATGATTATCTCAATAGATGCAGAAAAGGCCTTTGACAAAATTCAACAGCCCTTCATGCTAAAAACTCTCAATAAATTAGGTATTGATGGGATGTATCTCAAAATAATAAGAGCTATTTATGACAAACCCACAGCCAATATCATACTGAATGGGCAAAAACTGGAAGCATTCCCTTTGAAAACTGGCACAAGACAGGGATGCCCTCTCTCACCACTCCTATTCAACATAGTGTTGGAAGTTCTGGCCAGGGCAATCAGGCAGGAGAAAGAAATAAAGGGTATTCAATTAGGAAAAGAGGAAGTCAAATTGTCCCTGTTTGCAGATGACATGATTGTATATCTAGAAAACCCCATCATCTCAGCCCAAAATCTCCTTAAGCTGATAAGCAACTTCAGCAAAGTCTCAGGATACAAAATCGATGTGCAAAAATCACAAGCATTCTTATACACCAACAACAGACAAACAGAGAGCCAAACCATGACTGAACTCCCATTCACAATTGCTTCAAAGAGAATAAAATACCTAGGAATCCAACTTACAAGGGATGTGAAAGACCTCTTCAAGGAGAACTACAAACCACTGCTCAACAAAATAAAAGAGGATACAAATAAATGGAATTATATTCCATGCTCATGGATCGGAAGAATCAATATGGTGAAAATGGCCATACTGCCCAAGGTAATTTATAGATTCAATGCCATCCCCATCAAGCTGCCGATGACTTTCCTCACAGAATTGGAAAAAACTACTTTAAAGTTCCTATGGAACCAAAAAAGAGTCTGCATTGCCAAGTCAATCCTAAGCCCAAAGAAGAAAGCTGGAGGCATCATGCTACCTGACTTCAAACTATACTACAAGGCTACAGTAACCAAAACAGCATGGTACTGGTACCAAAACAGAGATATAGACCAATGGAACAGAACAGAGCCCTCAGAAATAATACCACACATCTACAACCATCTGATCTTTGACAAACCTGACAAAAACAAGAAATGGGGAAAGGATTCCCTATTTAACAAATGGTGCTGGGAAAACTGGCTAGTCATATGTAGAAAGCTGAAACTGCATCCCTTCCTTACAACTTATATAAAAATTAATTCATGATAGATTAGAGACTTAAATGTTAGACCTAAAACCATAAAAACCCTAGAAGAAAACCTAGGCATTACCATTCAGGACATAGGCATGGGCAAGGACTTCATGTCTAAAACACCAAAAGCAATAGCAACAAAAGTCAAAATTGACAAATGGGATCTAATTAAACCAAAGAGCTTCTGCACAGCAAAAGAAACTACCATCAGAGTGAATGGGCAACCTACAGAATGGGAGAAAATGTTTGCAATCTACTCATCTGACAAAGGGATAATATCCAGAATCTACAAAGAACTCAAACAAATTGACAAGAAAAAAACAAACAACCCCATCAAAAAGTGGGCAAAGGATATGAACAGACACTTCTCAAAAGAAGACATTTATGCAGCCAACAGACACATGAAAAAATGCTCATCATCACTGGCCATCAGAGAAATGCAAATCAAAACCTCAATGAGATACCATCTCACACCAGTTAGGATGGCGATCATTAAAAAGTCAGGAAACAACAGGTGCTGGAGAGGATGTGGAGAAATAGGAACACTTTTACACTGTTGGTGGGACCGTAAACTGGTTCAACCATCGTGGAAGACAGTATGGCGATTCCTCAGGGATCTAGAACTAGAAATACCATTTGACCCAGCCATCCCATTACTGGGCATATATACCCAAAGGATTATAAATCATGCTGCTATAAAGACACATGCACACATATGTTTATTGTGGCACTATTCACAATAGCAAAGACCTGGAACCAACCCAAATGTCCAACAATGATAGACTGGATTAAGAAAATGTTGCACATATACACCATGGAATACTATGCAGCCATAAAAAGGATGAGTTCATGTCCTTTGTCGGGACATGGATGAAGCTGGAAACCATCATTCTCAGCAAACTATGGCAAGGACAAAAAAACCAAACATCGCATGTTCTCACTCATAGGTGGGAATTGAACAATGAGAACACTTGGACACAGGAAGGGGGACATCACACGCTAGGGACTGTTGTGGGGTGGGGGGAGGGGGGAGGGATAGCATTAGGAGATATAGCCAATGTAAATGATGAGTTAATGGGTGCAGCACACCAACATGGCATATGTATACATATGTAACAAACCTGCACGTTGTGCACATGTACCCTAGAACTTAAAGTATAATAATAAAATAAACAAATAAATAAATAAATAAATAAAATAAAATAATAAAAAACAAAACCAAAAGTAGATATTAACAAAATTGATTTATAAATTAAAAAAATTATTCATCCAAAGTTTATAACAAAAATGGTTTTGAAAAACATATTAACCTTCTATCCATGTAATAATACAATCATTTAATTTTTTCTGATTCTTTTGAATTTTTGTTCATTTGCACATATTATTTTTATAAGGGTAAGCACAATTTGATATTCTCTACTTTACAATTAAAAACGTTTTCCCTACTTTGTCACATGGGCTTTCTAATCATGTTAGATCACATGCAATTGTAGTAAGTGAAATACCAAATATTCTGAAGAATTTTGCTATTGGTAGGCCTTTTCACCGCTATCAACAATTTGCAATAAACATCTTCGTGTATAAAATTTGAAAAAATAATCATTCCCTTATAATAAAGCTTCTGGAAGAGAAATTAAGCTTGATTGTGGTAGAGATTAAGTGGGGCCACAGTTAATGAGCTGACTTCAACCCAAGAAGTTAGAAGAACAATAGAGGTAACTCAAATAAATGAGAAATAAATATAACAGAAGTTGAAAATAGAAATAATTATACAATAGAGTGGATCAAACCCAAAGCTAGTTCTTTAAAGACTCATGAGGAGTACATGTTCTCTCCCAAAATAATTACAAAGTTGCAAAGAAAGCACAAAGAAACATCAGGAATGAAGCCAGAGATATAACTATAGCTACAGTTTAGAACTATACTACTTTTTAGTAGAATTATATTATTTTCCCCTTAAAGATAACCATATATTGGGGAAGAAACATTTATAACCTTTAAAGCACTTTTGAAACCTTAGAGGAGAACCACTATTCCAGTGATACTTGCAATAAACCCATATATTGTAAATATTTTCATGAAGAAATAGCAGTATCAAGCTCCTTGATATTTCCTATGGGCAAGGGTATTCATCTATGACTTGGACTTAATCTTGGAGTCTGATATACTGGAATAATGGAAAAACTTGCATCAGAGTGGTATTTAGTTTACTTCTTAACAGGGTTCAAATAATACACCCTTGGATCAATTAATACCATCCCTTTCCCCCACATCATCCCAAAGGTGTAATAAAAACTATAGCCACTCTTCTTCTGGTTCTGCAGAATTACATGAACCTCCTTTTGATAGCCTTCACCAAATGATTTACCTTGGAGGATTTATCACTTTTGAAATATCTCACCCCAGGAAGAGTAGAGACTCTGCCTCCATAGTCCTCTCAACTTTTGCATTTTTGGAAATAAATGACTAAGAGTGGAGGTATATCTCCCATTTACAAATGCAGAGCAACATACAAAGGTGAGCCAGGAGCTAAATCAAACATAAATCAGACTAAAATGCTTTATTTCCCCTCCTCCCTCTTAGTCTTTTCTTGCATTTTATATATTCTTCCATGGAAATGTAAATATCTCAATACAGAGTTGAGGGCACTTGTCCAAAATTATGCCACCCTGAACACAGATTGAGAAAAACTCATCATTGGTTTTGTTCCTACAAGGTCAGAATTCAGCCCCTCCCATCCCTTTTTGCTCTGATAGAGGCACCATCCTTGTCTCTTGGGATTGGGCACAAGTGCTGCTATGTCTGATCTTTTTCTTAAATTTCCTGCAGTTGTTGTTTTCCTAAACATTCCAGTTTGGCAAGATTTTCCTTTGTTAATTTGCTATCTGAAACCAGTGGCAAGATTTTCTCATAATAATATTTTGCAGACACTCAGTCCTCTTGTAACAGGAAGGGAAGGGACCCATTACATTTTGATCCATCAGACTGCTCTCATAATGGAACAGGGGAAACAGAAAATGCTGCCTCTGTGTGTAATGTTATCCTTGCCATTTCATGTTCTTGAAGAACTCATTGTTAGTTTTAAGTACCTGACCAGCTGGAGAATGTGAGCGAAAATAGTCATAGGACAAGGTTAAACAGCAGAAGAGCAGATTTTTTTCAATTCTGCTAATGAAAGGTATGAGGACACCAGGTGAACCTTCTGAATAACAGATGGGCTATTACATATTTTGTCATGTTCTAATCAACCAGAGTCTTGGCTAGAGATTCATATTCTTGGAAGGAAGGAAGAAAGCAAGGAGGAAGGGAGGGAGGAAGGAAGAGAGGAAGAAAATAGTTTTCTGAAACTGTAAGAGTGATGACAAAATAGTTCATGTTTTCCATACCCATTGAGTGGGGAGTTATTCCAATGTTCAATGTAAAGTAACTTTTAGAGTCTAGGTTAAGTGAAAATGTGAGTTTTCTAAAAAGAAAAGAACATAATAGTTCTGCAAGGTGTGTGGCAGTGCATACCTACCGAACACCTTAATGCAGAAAGAAAGGTACAGGGCTCTAGCCCCATCTGTCCATCTCTTAACCTGCTTAACACACTGTCCTCATCCTCTGTTGACCCCACCTCTTTTGTTTAATCCCCCTAACTCAGGTTAGGGGTCTGCCTGATCCTAGTTCATTGCCAATTAGTCCCAACTGCTAACTTTCTCCAGGCCTTTTCCAGCTATAAATCTATTTTCTCCCTTCTGTGGCTCACTTATCGTCTGGATCAATTTCTGCAAAGTCTCAGAGTTCATGTCTTTTGGTTTTCTCTATTCCAAAAGGCATGAGTTTTCTCCACTTTACTCTCTGCTTAAACTCACATATGGATGAAAAATGGCTATTCCTTAGATTTCAGTCATAGATTCAAGCAGTATTGCTTGGAGTGGAAGTACTGCGTGCAGTCAACCACTGCCATTTACTACTGCTTGCTGTGTTCCAGAGAAGGAACCAGATGAAAAGAGCCTGACACACAGGGCCTGACACACAGTGAGCACTCAGTGTTCTGCTGCCATTGCTACAACCCAGGCACTGTGTAAAGTGTCTGTTCCTCACAGCATCACTTGTCAAGGAGGTGAAAAGGAGGAATGAACAAAGAGTCTCCCCATGTTGTTGAGTGGAATCCTCAGGCCCTCTCTGTGCCCAAACACAAATAGCAAAGATATTTTAAGATTGCTCTTATCAATGAGGATTGACAAAATCCTGAATAACTGAGAACTTGAGACTGCTGCATTTCATTAGTTATTTTCAAGCCCAAAATTTGCCCTACGAGTATTTTTTAAAAATTTATTTGAGCTTAAGAACTACATGTGCAAGTTTGTTATATAGGTAAGCCCATGTCATGGGGGCTTGTTGTATAGATTATTTCGTCACTCAGGTATTAAGCCTAGTACTCATTAGTTTATTTTTCCTGATCCTCTCCCCCCTCTTTCCTCCCCCTCAAGTAGGCCCCAGTGTCTGTTGTTCCCATCGTTCTGTTCACGTGTTCTCATCATTTAGCTCGCACTTATAAGTGACAATATGCTGTGTTCGGTTTTCTGTTCCTGTGTTAGTTTGCTAAGGATAATAGCCTCCAGCTCCATCCATGTTTCTTCAAAGGACAGAATCTCATTCTTTTTTATGGCAGCATAGTATTCCATGACGTATATGTACCATATTTTCTTTATCCAGTCTACCACTGATGGGCATTTAGGTTGATTCTGTGTCTTTGCTATTGTGAGTAGTGCTGCAATGAACACACAAGTGCATGTGTCTTTATAATAGAATGATTTATATTCCTATGGGTATATACCAGTAATGGGATTGCTGGGTCGAATGGTAGTCCTATTTTGGGGTCCTTGAGAAATTGCCCGCTGCTTTCCACAATAGATGGACTAATTTACATTGCCCAACAGTGTATAAGCATTCCTTTTTCTCTGCAACCTCACCAGCATTTGTTATTTTTTGACATTTTAAAAGCAGCTATTCTGACTGGTGTGAGATGGTATCTCATTGTGGTTTTGATTTGCATTTCTCTAATGATCAGTGATGTGGAGTTTCTTTTCATATGCTTGTTGACCACATGTATGTCTTCTTTTGAAAAGTGTTCATGTCCTTTGCTCATTTTTTAATGTGTTTTTTTATTGTAAATGTGTTTATGTTCCTTATAGACAAATAAAGTCCTATGAATATTAGACGTTTGTCAGATGCATAGTTTGAAAATATTTTCTCCCATTATGTAGGTTGTCTGTTTACTGTATTAATAATTTTTTTCCTATACAGAAGCTCTTTAGTTTAATTAGATCCCATTTATCAATTTTTGCTTTTGTCCTACATGTATTTTCTGATATTTGTTAAGGTTTGCACTTATTGTGCAGTCAATTGAGAGTTTTCAAAATATGTTTCTATTATAGCTGGTTATCAACTGGAAATTTCCCTGAATTGTGGGCTCCAGTCTGGGGCCTTGGCATCTCCTTCTGTGATCACCCCAGGCTTCTCTCTTCTGACCCTTCGCTCAAAACCTAGGTGAGTGTGGCAATACTTACTTTCTCCAATTTCCCTTTAATTTTCTCTCACACATCATGTACTACCAGAAGCCATTAAAAATAGGTTCATAACCTTTCATTTAATATCTTAATTTCCTAAACCCTAAGGAATTTTTATCTTTCAATTTCTAGATGTTATTACTGTCATAGGACATTTTTTGCAGAGAAAATATAGCTTATGCTATGGCCAGGTTAATGCTACCAGTTGTTCATGGAAAATGTTGGTATCACATTTTTAATCTAGTATTTAGCCCCATCTCAAAATGTAAACATACTTCCTTTTATTACCAAATAATAATCTATGCCCCCAGCAGCTTCATTTCATCTCTTGGCGTCACTTCTCCTCAGAGTGGCACTCCCTCTTGTACCCTTACCAGAGTGCCAGCCCATCCCAAGTCTCACCCAGTTTCAGGGAAGGAGCAAAGCTGAGGGCTGGGGCAAGACAGCTTGTTGCACAATGTGCCAGCAGTGAGCTATTAGGTCAAGTAAGAATAATTCCCATCCATTAGTGGCATCAGCAGGACCACATCAGATGCAGTGCACCTAGTCTGCAGGCTTACTATGATTAAGATCAGGGTTCAAGTCATTGCGTCTGATGAAGGTTCTGCTCACATGCACCACTATGTTCTCTATTCGATCAAGGCTTGCCAGCCGCAGGTTAATGCCTACACCATCCTCTCCTTCCCCAGCACTGTGGCTCACCTTTCTGGTCTTGGTGTTTTGTTTTGTTGTGTTTTGAGTGGCCCAGCTTCTGTACAATGTAAACCCTGTCAGCAGGGGAACACTGTGTTCATCACAGCTGTAGGACAAGGGTGATATCCTTATCTCTGTCCTGCCATTTAATTGGTTTACATTTTGTGGCTATAGGCTGCAGAGCACGGAGGATGATAGGGATGAAGCCTAAGAATAGCTCATTTGAACCATATGAGTCCTACCCAAAGTCCTCTAAAGGTTTTCAACTTACCAGGCATAAAAGTCAAAGTCCCTACAGTCTCCTTCTGGGTCCTATATGACCTGGCTCTTGCATTCATAATCTGGCCCCTGTGATCTATGACTCACTTTTTATCACTTCCTTTCACTTGCTGTGTCTCAGCCATGTGGCTGGTACTTAGCTTCAACACAGGGCCTTTGTGCTTGCTGTCTGCTTTGCCTGGAATGCTCTTCCCCTAGACTACCATATGGCTTGAACCTTCATGGACTTTGCTCAAATGTACTTTTCACCAGGACTTCCCTGATCATGTAATTTACACTGTAACCTCTATGGAAGGGGGACGACAGAGAAGAGCACCCCTATTCCCCTTCCTTGCTCTATATTTCTCATGAATATTCATTCATGCACCTTTATGCCTATGTCTGTCTGTATGTACACGCATATTGATTGATAAATCCTCCTCTACTAAATAAAAGTCTCATGATGGCAGAATTTTTATTATTGCTCTATTCTCACTACCTCAAAGACTACCTGACATAAGATACCTTTCATAAATATCAGTTGAATAGATGGATGAAGGAATTGTGGTGAATCTTTGCTCTTATTAGGTATAACCAATATGATCCCCCTATTTTCAGTTCCTCTGAACAAGAAGATTCATCAAGTTTAGCTTTCACTATAGAACAAAGCAAGCTTGTTTACCAGCAAGAGAAAGTATTCTATACAAAAGAAAAGGAACATACTATTTGAAGTAGCACTTTAGTCTTGACATTTAGGTTATGCTGTGAGGAAAACTGAGCCACACTAAGTTCTAACACATGGTTTCTCAACCTTGGCCACTACTGATATTTGGAGTTTACTTAGGAATAAACTTGGTCAAGGAGGCAAAAGACTTGTTCTTTCAAAATTGTGTCAGTAATCAAAGAAATTAAAGCAGACATAAATAATTTGAAAGACCTCCCATGTTCACGGACTGCAAAATTAATATTGTTAAAATGTCCATACCACCCAAAGTGATCTACAGATTCAATAACATCCCTAAAATCCCAATGTCACTTTTACAGAAACAAAAAAACGAACCCTAAGATTCATATGGAATCCCAAAAGTCCTCGAATAGCCAAAGGAATTTTGAGCAAAAAGAACAAAGCTAGAGGCACAACACTCCCTGATTTCAAAATATATTACAGAGCTACAGTAGTCAAACAATATGGTACTAGCATAAAAACAATTGTATAGACCAATGAATCAGAATAGGGAGTTCAGAAATAAACACACATATACGGTCAAATAATCTTTGATAAGGATACCAAGAATATACGATGAGAAAAAGATTAGCCTTTTCAATAAATAATATGGGAAAATTGGTATTCACATGCAAAAGAATGAAACTGGATGGTTATCTTACACCACGCACAAAAATCAACTAAAAATGGATTTAAAACTTAAGCATAACAGCAGAAACTATAAAACTCCTAGAAGAAAACAGGAAAAAAGCTTCTTGACATTAGCCTTGGCAATGATTTTTTGGATGATACTAAAAGCACAGGCAACAAAAGAAAATAAAGTGGATTACATCAAATTAAAAAGCTTCTGCACAGAAAAAAGAAACAATCAAGATAAAAAAACAACCTATGGGATAGGAAAAATATAATGGAAAACCATATATTTTATAAGATGTTAATATGCAAAATATACAAGAAACTCCTATAACTCAAAAGCAAAGAACCTCAAATAAAAAATCCAATGAAAAATGGATAAAGCAACTAAGTAGACTTTTTTTTTGCAAGGAAGACACACAACTGGATAACAGGCACATGAAAAGGAGTTCAACGTCAATAATCATGAGGGAAATGCAAAGCAAATCAAAACCACCATGAACTATTACCTCACATCTGTTAGAATGGCTATTATTTAAAAAACAACAGATACACTTTGGCACAAATGTGGAGAAAAGAGACGCTATTGACAGGAATCTAAATTGCTGCAGCCACTGTGGGAAACAGTATGAAGGTTCCACAAAAAATTAAAAATAAAACTACTATATGATCCAGCAATCTCACTTCTGAGTATATATCCACAGGAATTGAATTCAGGATTTTGAAGAGATGTGTGTACTCCATGTTTACAGCAGCATTATTCACTGTAGCCAAGACATGGAAGCAACCTAAATGTCCGCAAACAGATTAACTGATGAAGAAATTGTGATATATACATAAAATGGCATGTTATTCAGCCATAAAGAGAGGAAATCCTGCCATCTACCACAACATGGGTGAACATGAAGGACACTATGCTAAGTGAAATGAGCCAAACACAGGGCTACATGATTCCACTTACATGATGAATCTGAAATAAAACTCCTAGAAGCAGAAAATGCAATGGTGGCCAGGGGTTGGGGAGAGTGGAAAATGGGAAGATACTAGTCAAAGAGTACAACATTTTGGTTACACAGATGAATAAGTCCTAGAGATATACTGTATAACTTAATGTCTATAGGTGACAACACTGTATTGTATACTCAAAAATTTGCTATGAGGGTAGATCTAATGTTGTGTCTTTATCATAGAAAAAATTAATAATAATAAATAAGAGGGTAAGAGGAAAGTTTTAGAAGTTGAATAGGCTTCTGGGATAGCTTGCAGATTGTGGCAATGGTTTCATGGGTATATACTTATCTCTAAACTAACCAAGTTGTATGCATTAAATATATACAGCTTTTTCTATGTTGATTGTACTTCAATAAAAATAGTTTTTTAAAAAATTTCCAAACATTGCCAATGTTCAATAAAATCCCCTCAGTTAAGAACCAGTGGTTGAATAGAGTCTTAATTCCCAGAAAACATACCTTGATTGATCTTTAATGATACTATCTATAAGTACATACAATTCTCTATGATCAGTAAAATCATAGCACCTATCTTACACAGACACATTCAAAACAAAACAAAACAAGGAGTTCATGCTATTCAGTATCTAGTTAACACGGCAAAGCACAAACTGCACTAATTTCATTTTTTAGAAATCTCTTTTTTTTAGTTTCAAATAACTGAAAGAGAAGATAACCTATGAACATTAAATTATTTGAGAGAAGAAAGATATAAGGAGAGAAAAACAGGAAGACACAGCTCATATAAAAATTACTTTTCATGCCGTGATGTGTTGGAGCCCACCCATGATCATCCAAGCCTGTGGTTGATCTTATTTCCATGACTGTTTTATAGCTCTAAATAAACTTTTAAAAACACATATATTTTCATGTCACAGAACTAGGTCCCAAGAAATTTGTGGAATACCACTCTCTTCACACACAAGAGTTTAAATGATGAATGCAATAATCATCATCATGGAACCAGCCACTACTAGGTCACGAATGACCTGTTTCCTATTATGTTCCAAAGTCCCATGCACAGCATAAGTTGCTGATTGCAAAGTGGATGAAACTGAAACGTGCAATTTCCCTGCAGAGCTAACGTTGTGGACAAAAAGAGGCAGAAGATGCCTACAGGGAATTCAGGCGATTTCTATTATAGTGCATCATTTCCCACTGGCTTTGACCTGTGAGAAAACTGGGATTTTCCACTGTTTTCATTATAAAAGGAGTTTGTAGTAAAAATTTCTTATTACCACAGAATCTAAGGGTGGTTGTCTAACCCAGCTCTCAACACTTGATGCAGTCATGCCTTTAACAATATCACTAACATGGTTATTTAGTCTGTGCTTAAATATCTCCATGTCCTGATGTTCATTACTTTCTCAGAAAGCTATTTCACTGGCAGAGTTTTAATTAATAGAATATCTTTCATTATTTTAAGATAAAATTTTCTACTTAGACTACTGTAACACACAATGAGTTTCTCCTGCCATATGAAAGATATTCAAAGGTTTAAAATGTGTATCATCTCTTCTTCCTATATTTTTCTTTTTGTGTAAAGAATCAGTATTGTATTGAGTACAATGTCTATATGGATTTTCTTTACCTATTTTGTCTGATTACAGTAAAAATATTCTCCCTAACAATTTTCCATTTTCATGGTGATCACCATAAACATATCAATTCAATAGAATAAAGACAAAAGTTAGTAGTTGCTATCAATTAAAATATAGATCGTACATCTTAAAATTAATAAATTCATGTTAATGTTTATTATTATTTTAACTATCAAAGTACAACTGAACAGATGTATTAAATAAGTAAAAATGCATTAAATAAACAAAAATCTTCCTTTACTTTTGTCTTATATAAAACAAGTAAATAATGAGAAAATATTCTCTTAACTGTAACTGTTAAAATAGACTTGCAGTGTGTATCTTTTGATTAATCAATATTTATTAAGGATGGGAGCAAAGTAGACAAAATCTTAGTTTGAAATATTAGTTGTGCCATTTATTATGTGACCTTGGACAAGTTACTTATCCATAAGTTGACTTATCTCTAGGATAGGGATAACAACAATACATGTCTTATAGGATTATTGTGAAAATTAATAATGCATGCAAACTTTTAGTTTTATTTTTAGAGACAAGGTCTCACTCTGTCACCCAGGCTGGAGTACAGTGGTGCAATCAGAGCTCACTGCAGTTTTGAATTCCTGGGCTCAAGTGATCCTTCCACCTCAGCCTCCCAAGTAGCTGGGACTACAGGCAGCCACCATGCCTGACTAAATGTAAAAGTCCTAAAATAGTGTCTGATACACAGTAAGTGATCAGCACAATTTAGCTATTATTACTAGCCCAATATTCTACTCTTTATATATTTATCCTCCATATAGTAATTATTAATATATTTGTTTTCAAAGCAACGTATTAATGTATTTAGTTATTTGTATATACATGTATATTTATATTTATAAAGAAAATTATGCTGTTAATTATAGAACATCAATTAGGAAGGTAGGTGTTAAAATATTTTTTAGATGTGGTATTATTAAAATATGTTTCAGATGTGGTATTGTTAAAATATTGTATACACACACACACACACACACACACCACATATGCAATGAAGTACTATTCAGCCTTAAAGAAGAGGGAAATCCTATCATTGCAACATGGATGCACATGGAGGACATTATGCTAAGTGAAATAAGCTGGGCACAGGAAGACAAATACTGCATAATCTCACTTACATGCAGAACCTAAAAAACTTGTACTCATAGAAGTAGAGAGCAGAATGCTGCTTACCAGAGGCTGGGGGCAGGAAGGGAGGGAACAAGGATTTGTTGGTCAAAGGGTACAAAATTTCAGTTATACAGAAGGAATAAATTTTCTTCTTTCTTTTTTTTTTTTTTTTTTTTTTTTGAGACAGGGTCTTGCTCTGGTGCCCAGGCTGGAGTGCAGTGGTGTGATCAGGGCTCACTGCAGCCTTGACTTCCCACGCTCAAACAATTCTCCCACCTCAGTCTCCAAGTAGCTGGGTCTACAGGTACATGTCACCATGCCTGGCCATTTTAAAATTATTATTATTTTTTGTAGAGACAGGGTCTCACTATGTTGCCCAGGGTGGTCTTGACCTCTTGAACTCCTGGACCCAGGCTGGTCTTGAACTCCTGGACCCACCTTGGCCTCCTGAGGTGCTGGGATTACAGGTGTCAGCCACCATGCCCATCCAGGAGGAATAAATTTTGAGATCTATTGCACAGCATAGTGATAATAGCCAAAAATAATCTATTCAAATCTCAAAATAACCAAGATATTCCAAATGTTTCACCACAAAAAAATGATGAGTGAGATGATAGTTATGTTAATCAGTTTGATTTAATTACTTCTCATTGTATATATGGAATATATATATCAAAACATCACAATGTACCCCATAAATATAATTTGTAGATTAAAAATAATATTAAGAAAAAATATGCTATTGAAAAAAGTATTTTTCAGGTAATAAGTATTCAAATAATTTCTGTTTCAAGACTGTCATGATTTTCTGTGTTGAGAGTTCAGGTTCAAATCTATTTCATCAAACGTCTCTGTACTAATTTTTTGTTAATAATGTTATTAATAATACTAACATTTTTAAAGTAATTCAGTATTTTGTAATGTAATTTGGTCATTTGAAATTTAACATTGCCCAAAATATAATTGTCTATTCATTTTTTTTTTTTCTTTAGACAGAGTTTCACTCTGTTGCCCAGGCTGGAGTGCAGTGGTGCGATGTTGGCTCACTGCAACCTGTGTCTCCTAGGTTCAAGCGATTCTCCTGCCCCAGTCTCCTGAGTAGCTGAAATTATAGGCAGGTGCCACCATGCCTGGCTAACTTTTGTATTTTTTAGTGGAGATGGTGTTTCACCACGTTGGCCAGGCTGGTTTCGAACTACCGACCTCAAGTGATTGGCCCCCTTGGCCTTCTGAAGTGCTGGGATTACAGGCGTGAGACACTGTGCCTGGCCATAACTGTGTATTCTTATGACCTCAATAACTTCAATAACCTAGTTGCTTTAGCAGGAAAAAGGAAAAGGCATGGTGTTTCTGTAACATTTATATTTATCTGTAAATACTAATGTGTGAGCCATGTATGAATCTTATTTCAGTGCTGTTGAATACCAACCTACAAGATGCTTTCCATAATAATGTAAACATAGAAGGAACATTTCCTCTCTTAAGAAACTTCCAGTTCTGTTTAGGATATTACAGACAATGCAATATATGATGGCTTTCAAGTAATTGATATAGACACTAAGTATTTTAAAAGCATAAGAGAAGCAAGGTCATTGTCAACAGGGATGGGCAGGAAGGGCTTCCTGAGAAAGGAGGATGCAACTGTTTCTTGGTGGATAAGTGGGAGTCAGATCAAGGTTGGGGAAACTATTCCAAGGACACAGATGTGAAGATATCCACAACCATTTATGTAATATTTCAGCAGGAGTAGAGTTATTGGGAGGGGAGAGGAGAAGGGAGAGGAGAAGCTGGTTTGAGAACAAAATGTGGAATGCTGTGTATACCAAGTTAAAGGTAGTAATTCTGAAGATAATCCAGAGGTGTTGTGGGAGCTTGAAAAAGAAAACAGAGGCTCATTTAGAGAAGTAAATTATGTCTGCTAATCAGAAATTTCATTTTACAAGCATGCGAGTGATCTTAGGTTTTACTGCATCAGTTTACATTAAGGCTGATAGAGTACTAATTTTAATTCATGGACTTAATGTCTCAATTTTACTAATTGTTTATATCTCAAGAACTTTGTCAAGAAGTTTCTATTCTCTTAGTTGATTTCCTTTTTGTAAAAAATTCATATATGACTCTAAGTTTCTTTGGTTTTTCTTTGGTCTACAGCATCAAGTGACCACAGAGTTTGGAAACTGAGACAAGTTGAGAGCTGATAAAATAAAAATATGCTTCTTATTCCTATGCATTAATTGGCATGGTGTGTGAAGTAAATGCAGTGAGGTGAGAATCAAAACACTCACATTATTCCTGACTTTCTCATTGAGAAATGATGTGGTCCTGGCAAATTCACAAATTTTCCATCTATGAGTGAGTGACAATGAGATATCCCTGATCACTTTACATGGAGGTCATGTGATACACCTGAAAGAAAACACAATTTGGGGTCAGACATTTGCCGTGACCATGTGCCTCTCAGTTCCAGGTGCCCACTCTGCCTCCAGTACCCACTGCACCCCAGCAGAGATCTCTTCAAAGCAAAAATCAGATCATGTTGCTCTTCTGCTTAAAACTACCACAATCTCCACTATTCCAAGGATAATAAACAAACTACGTGGCTCAGCCCTATATTTGCACCTCCCATCATGTTCCTATTCCCTCATTCTCAGTTCCTTAGATAGGCCCCATTCTCACCTTCGTAGGGCCATTATGTGTACAATTTCTTTGAGACTATGTCGTTCTTCATGTCATGATTGAGTACAGTCATAATTTTAATAGGTGATGGTGTGATTGTCTAACATCTGCCACCCATCTGGACTGTAAGTTTCAATGAGGACGAGTGAAGTTCCCTTTGCTTGTTCTGTTAATCCTACTCTATTCCTGTTACCTCCCATGATAATCTAGCACAACAGGCATTCAGCACATTTTTGTTGAACTAATTCATGAATTTAATGATTGTGTGACTTTTATAATGGAGATAATGATGATAGCTACTATAATATACAGGGTGGTTCCTCTGCTCCACAGGGTTTTTATAAGCTTTTTTACAAGGCAAATACAGGGCTATAGATTAGGAAGAACATGGCAAACAATTAAGCACACAAATATGAGTATTCCTCGTAATAAAAATAGCTGAAAACAAATTCAAATAATAACCCATAAAATTTTTATACCAAACATAAGCCAAGAAAATTTTAAGATGGAAATCTAAGGAATTAAGGGGGAACCAGGAAAAAAGCACTTATAAAATAGAATATGTCAACTAATGATATTAAAGATACCTCAGTCTTGTAAATGTGCAAATTGGAGAATCACTTAGGTACACACTACTTTCTACCCATGAATCCAAACAGCCTTAAACAATGCCCTTCCCTTCCTTGCCATGGTTGTCCCGCTTGTTGTAGATTGCTGACAAGGGGCAATAACATTCAAGTGATCCAGTCTCACAATGTGGTTTGTCATCTTTTCAGTTCCTATTGTCTGACCTATCATGGCCAAACCAGAGCCTGCAAAACCATTCTGACCTTGGCTTAGCAGATACTTTGGTATTACCTTACCAAACAAAGCATCCCTGAATAGAAGCATTCAGAAAACGTCCCTGACAAAAATGCTCAGCATCTATTTAGTGACTCACAGGGAGGGCTGTATGTACCACAGTTTATAGTTCAGTATGTATTCACATGCATGTGTATATGTGCATGTGTGTCAAGCATGTGTACAGCACGTGCATAGCATGTGCATGCTAGTCAAGCAAGCATGCCCCAGAAAACCCAGATAAAGTGCTTGTGCTTTTAAATAAAAGTTGACTATGTTAAATCATGATGCAGAGCCGCAGTGCTGGAAAACTTCATATGGTTTAAAGAGAAGAGCACCCTTGTAGGAAAAGCAGTTCATTGACTGCATATTTAATGAGAAGGAAGTGCATGAAACTGAAAAATTGAAATAAAAAAAGCAATTTTGGTGTCTATGGTTTTGGTGAAAGGATCTAATACTGCTGTTACTTTCACATTAATATTTATAAAATAGATCTGTTATGGATATTCTGGCTCCAGTTTTGAGGCTTATCACTGCCTCCCAATATTGCACATTGTACTCATCTTTCCAGCTTTATTTTCTGCAGTCTTCCACTCACCAGTGCCAGGAGGAGTTCCCTGTGTGCTGCAGCCTCCCTGTAAGTCTGCAAAGCATCTTCATATTGTCAGTGTTGTAATATAGTTCTTGCTCCCAAAGGAGATAATCTCACCTGTTTTCATGTCACTTACAGTGCACTAAATTGGCATTCATACTTGTCTGAAAACAATACATTTCTAAATGCTGTTAAAAATTTGAAAAGGACTGTCTGTAGACTGAAACTATGTTTTATTGTGATGTTTCAGCTTATATCTAGAAAAGAGTAAAAAATAAAATGATGCCACTACCTTCTGTATATGAGAATGACTCTCTCTACTGAGTTGCCAATATGGAAGCAGTACCTCAAGGAATCATCATCATCAATAAGGACAGACTTATTCTGCTAATGCACAGTCTTTTATATAAATCCCATTTAAAACAAATGCTAGCTTTTGTTAGACATATAGAGAAAACCACAACCTTAAATAAAATGTAGAAGAATGAATTCCAATTTTAGCTTCATTAACACCACGTTGTAATCAGCAAGCTGATCATCCATTAATTAGAATAGGATTTGTAGTGTTTTATTTCTTATTTTGAGAAAGGGAATCGATACTACTTAAAGTTTTGAAAATTGTTAATACCTAAAGAGCAGGTCTCTTCCAACTAGTGGAAAGGTTAATGGGCAATGTTTAGGTTTCTGAGCAACTTGCAAAGTGAAGAAAACGATCTTTATCATTCTTCGGCCATGAAGTTTTCTTCCAATAACCTGTAGAGTCTCCTCTGGTTCACCAGGACCATGTGATTGCTTGAGCTATGATTGATCGCCCATTAATAATGGAAATTGTGTGCCAGTAAAGTTTTTTTTTTAATACCAGAGCTTCCTTAATTTAAAAATGATTAATTATTTTAATTAATACCATCTCTCTTCTTTAGTGGGTTACACCATCAATTGTTGATTTTCTTCTTCCTGCCATGGTCTAACTTCACACCATCCACTATTTATGTCAATCACCAAAGAACATATATTTGGTCTTCAAACTCGTTTCCTGGCTTACAACTTCTAAAACCCTAAGAAACTCCAAAGTGATGTTCTTGTCTGCTTACGAGTTGACTGGTAGGTGGCAGCCTCTAGGTAGCTTCAGGATGAGTCTGGTCATGCAAACAAACAAACAAACCTCACATCTTTTTTTATTTGTGGAAGTTTAATAAATATGTTTACTGGCCAACATTCTAGTTAATATGATATTCTGAAATCATCAGTGGCTGTTATTTACCCAAGTCATTCTTGTTTTAGGTTAAGACAATTACAGATGGTCCCTGACGTAGGATGATTTGACTCTAATTTTTTGACTTTATGATGGGCTTATCAGGACATAAACCAATAAGTTAAAGAGCTCCTTATGACATAAAATGGAGTTACAGTTTCTACTGAATGCTTATCACTTTCACCATCATAAAATAAAAAAAACATAAGTGTAGGGGTGGGTTGCCCCTCCACACCTGTGGGTGTTTCTCGTAAGGTGGAACAAGAGACTTAGGAAAGAAAAAGACACAGAGACAAAGTATAGAGAAAGAAATAAGGGGACCCGGGGAACCAGCGTTCAGCATATGGAGGATCCCGCCAGCCTCTGAGTTCCCTTAGTATTTATTGATCATTCGTGGGTGTTTCTCAAAGAGGGGGATGTGTCAGGGTCACAAGACAATTGTGGGGAGAGGGTCAGCAGACAAACACGTGAACAAAGGTCTTTGCATCATAGACAATGTAAAGGATTAAGTGCTGTGCTTTTAGATATGCATACACATAAACATCTCAATGCTTTACAAAGCAGTATTGCTGCCCGCAGGTCCCACCTCCAGCCCTAAGGCGGTTTTTCCCTATCTCAGTAGATGGAGCATACAATCGGGTTTTATACCGAGACATTCCATTGCCCAGGGACAGGCAGGAGACAGATGCCTTCCTCTTGTCTCAACTGCAAGAGGCATTCCTTCCTCTTTTACTAATCCTCCTCAGCACAGACCCTTTACGGGTGTCGGGCTGGGGGACGGTCAGGTCTTTCCCTTCCCACGAGGCCATATTTCAGACTATCACATGGGGAGAAACCTTGGACAATACCTGGCTTTCCTAGGCAGAGGTCCCTGCGGCCTTCCGCAGTTTTTGTGTCCCTGGGTACTTGAGATTAGGGAGTGGTGATGACTCTTAAGGAGCGTGCTGCCTTCAAGCATCTGTTTAACAAAGCACATCTTGCACCGCCCTTAATCCATTTAACTCTGAGTTGACACAGCACATGTTTCAGAGAGCACGGGGTTGGGGGTAAGGTTATAGATTAACAGAATCTCAAGGCAGAAGAATTTTTCTTAGTACAGAACAAAATGGAGTCTCCTATGTCTACTTCTTTCTACACAGACACAGTAACAATCTGATCTCTCTTGCTTTTCCCCACACATAAGTTAAACCCATGGTTAAATCTTAGGCTGTCTGCTGCATTGCAAGCATTAAATGAATTTTTTGACTTAGAGTATTTTTGACTTACCATGGGTTTATCTGGATGCAATTCCATTATTAAGTAGAGGAGAATCTGGTAACAGACTACAGTTGTGCCTCAGCATTCATAAGGAATTGGTTCCAGGACCCCCACAGATACCAAAATGTGTGGATGCAAAATTTCCTTATATAAAATGGTGTAGTATTTGCATATAACCTATGCATATCCTCCCATATACTTGAAATCATTTCTAGGTTACATTTAAGATCTAATATATGTAAGTACTATATAAATAGTTGTCACAGTGCATTGTTTTCTTTATATTATTTATTTTCCAATATTTCTTATTCTCAGTTGGTTGAATCCATGGATCCCAAACGGTATTAGTCAGAGTTCTCTTAGAGGGACAGAATTAATAGGATATATATATATATACACACCCATATATAAAGGGGAGTTTATTAAGTATTAACTTACATGATCACAAGGTCCCACAATAGGCTGTCTGCAAGCTGAGGAACAAGGAGAGCCAGTCCGAGTCCCAAAACTGAAAAACTTGGAGTCCTATGTTTGAGGGCAGGAAGCATCCAGCATGGGAGAAAGATGTAGGCTGGGAGTCTAGGCCCATCTCAGCTTTTCACGTTTTTCTGCCTGCTTTATATTAGCTGGCAGCTGATTAGATTGTGCCTACCAGATTAAAGGTGAGTCTGCCTTCTCTAGTCCACTGACTCAAATATTAATCTCTTTTGGCAACACCCACATAGACACACCCAGGATCAATACTTCAATCCAATCAAGATGACAGTCAGTATTAACCATCACAAGTCCACCCCTTGTCAACTTGAACCCATACACATCTCCTGAGATCATACATAATCTTCAAATAAAGTCAATAATAAGGTCATAATTATGCCTAATGTAATACAACTATCCTTCACACAACCAGAAACACACCAATTCCAAATACTATTACATAAAGTTAACAATATTTAAATGCTAATATGAAGTCAATAAATCTCATGTCACCTCATAAAGGAAAAGGCAATAAAATGAAGATATTTTCTTAGTACAAGTGTATACATGCACAAACATGTTTTTAGGCAAAAAAAGAGGAAATACACTTGACAGTTACAGTCCTCGTTTCTGCAGCTGGTCATGTGGTCATAGCTGGTATTGATGACTACCTTCTTCTACTAACCATTCTGTATTCCCTTTTCCTTCAGCAAGAATCTCAACATGTCATGGTATTTTTCCTGGTGGAGTGACCCAAATCTTCATTCCTGAAGGGTCTGTGTCATTTGTAGTTCTGCCTGGATTGGGCTGTTGAAGTTTCCCATTGAATTTTCCCACAGGGCATGGTAATACTAAGAGACTCCCTAATGGATCTCCTGTATTCCATGTGTACTCTTCCTTACCTCTATTGTGGAGTAATAGACTGATTTCATCTTGAAAGTCTGGATCAATCACCCCAGCCAACACTATAACTCCCTTGTTAGCCTGTTGACTTAAAAGTAGGAGGAGCCCAAAGTGTCCAGGTGGCAATCTTAACTTCCAGTTTATTGGAAACATTATTATGTCTCCAGGTGGCAGCATTCCTCCCTCTGGAACTAAGACCTCTAGGCCAGCAGAACGTAATGTCATGGAAACAGGAAGTAAAAATTTTGCTAATGGATCACTAGGGATGATGGTGAATGGTGCCACTTCTACTTCCACCCCTTGATTCCTGAGCCCGTGAATCCTGGCTATATGAGAAATAATACCATATATTGGACGCTGATTCAGAGCATACATGGCCTTCTGGAGAACTTTGCCCCAGCCCTGCAAAGTATTGTCACCTACTTGGCACTGTAATTGTGACTTCAAAGGGCTGTTCCACCATTCTATCAATCTGGCTGATTCAGGATGATGGGGAACATGGTAAGACCAATGAATTCTATGAGTATGAGCCCACTGCTGCACTTCTTTAACTGTAAAGTGAGTGCCTTGGTCAGAGGCAATGCTATGTGGAATACCATGATGGTGGATAAGGTATTCCGTGAGTCCCATGGATGGTAGTCTCGGCAGAAGCATTGCGTGCAGGATAGGCAAACCTATATCTGGAGAAAATGTCTACTCCAGTGAGGACAAACCTCTGCCCTTTCCGTGATGGAAGAGGTCCAATATAATCAACCTGCTACCAGGTTGCTGGCTGATCCCCTGAGGAATGGTGCCATATCGGGGACTCAGTGTTGGTCTCTGCTGCTGGCAAATTGGGCACTCAGCAGTGGCCATAGCCAGATCAGCCTTGGTGAGTGGAAGTCCATGTTGCTGAGCCCATGCGTATCCTCCATCCCTGGCACCATGGACACTTTGTTCATGGGCCCATTGGGAGATGACAGGAGTGGCTGGGGAAAGAAGCTGAGTGGTATCCACAGAAGGGGTCATCCTATCCACTTGATTATTAAACTCCTCCTCTGCTGAGGTCACCCATTGGTGAGCACTCACATGGGATACAAATATCTTCATAGATTTTGACCATTCAGAGAGGTCCATCCACATACCTCTTCCTCAAATTTATTTGCCACCAATTTTCTAATCATGCTTCTTCTAAGTCCCTGACCATCTAGTCAAACCATTGGCTACAGCCCATGAATCAGTATATAATTGCACATCTGGCCAGTTCTCCTTCCATGCAAAGTGCACAACCAGGTGCACTGCTCGAAGTTCTGCCCACTGGGAAGATTTCCCTTCACCACTGTCCTTCAGGGATGTCCTAGAAAGGAGCGGTAGTGCTGCAGCTGTCCACTTTCGGGTGGTGTCTGCATATCATGCAGAACCATTTGTGAATCAGGCCCTAGTCTTCTCTTCCTCTGTCAACTGATCACAGGGAACTCTCTCATGAGACCATCGGTGCAGGCGAGAGAAGACAGGGTGGCAGGAGTGGAGACCATGGGCATTTGAGCCACTTCCTCATGTAACTCACTTGTGCCTTCAGGACCTGCTCGAGCCTGATCACATATATACCACTTCCATTTGATGATGGAATGCTGCTATGCACGAACCACTTTATATCTAGAATGAGTCAGAAAGCACCCAGTCCATGATAGGCAGTTCAGGTCGCATAGGGAGGGCCAACTGTATTGTAGAAAGAAAATCATCCTATAGCAAATTCCAAAGGTGTGTTTCAATTAAGTTTCAATTAAGCTTGAACACATTAATTGATATATTGCCCTAAGTATATATCAGTTGAACCTTGAAAATTTCTTTTCAAAACATACATTTTTGTTTTGCTAGTGTTTCTTCTGATAGGACTTTTAACCATAGGATAAGGCCATCTTGCCTTTACCTAGAGAAGTGTATGGATTTGAAGTCTTTCATTTGTATGATCTCATATGATCCTAACGGTTTTTTAAAAAACCACTTAGCTACCTGAAATTCCTCTTGGGATGCAAAAGATCTAAATAAATAGACAAAAATTACCATTTTACAGACACAGAAACTAAAGAACAAAGAGGTTAAATGCCTTGACAAAGATCTCAGGGCAAGTGAGGTTCAGGGGAAAAGCAGAATCAGTTTTTTCTAGTCGAGATAATTTTCTCCAAAGAAGCATCCTAGTGAGTTGTATGTAGGTAACTGAAATTGCCTACATACAATTTTCCCTAGTGGAATGTTCATTTTCTGTACAGTAATCTTTTCAGGTGTGCTATTTTAGAATGCAAGTTTGACTGGCAGGTAACAAAAACAGGTCTATCTACAGATACACAGTAAGCGGCGGTGGGGAGTTAGGGGAACTTCGTAAGTATACAAACATAAAGGCAAAGAGAAAGAATACTGTTGGCAAGATAAACAGTGAGCTGCTTTAGGGGTTTGTCTGTTATTGAAGTAGAAGAGGGCTAAACTAGTAATTCCCTTGAAGACTCTTCTGGTTTTGATTTCTTAAAGTGCATAACTATTTGTATTGTGTTACTAACAGGTCAGCACATAGAAATATACAACAATTTTAAGTGTAAATCAAGCAAACTTCTTAGGCAGGTCAATATTAAATAAATTAAAAATATAACTTATAATCCTGAAAACAGAAAAAAAACCTTCAAATTTACCAGAAAATAAAAACCTCTGTGTGTAATCGAGGTTGGTAAAATAATGAAAGTAGAATTTTACTGCAAGGCTGAAAGTCCACTGGGTAATGAGAATGATGTTATGTTTTTGCATTAAGCCTAAAATTTGTCTTTTTATTATTTATGAGTATTCATTATATTCAAGAGTATATGTGGTTCTGCCCAGATCATAAAGCAAATAGAATCCCTTCCCATATAGGGTTGCTTTAAATAAACAGCAGCAAGAACATTTTAGAGAGTGCCTGATGTACAAGCACATTCTATCCATTATAAGGTATAGTAAACGTAGTTCTATAATGTATATTAAATAAGAAAAGAAAGAGCAATGCTGGAGGTTTGTTCATCTATAAAAAGCTAGTGTCTACCCTGTTTCTGAGTCTAGATTTAAATGAAATTTCTGCATCATGGTAGAGGAACATTTCCTCATTGTAGATTTATAAAAGCTTCTATAAATGAGGTAAAAAGAAGTCTGCTGCTCAATAAATCATCAATACTAGTTCCTGCAGCCTGGAGGGTTTTCTTTAGGGATATGATTGTAAGAACTGGGCAGATTTTACTGAGCTGAACTTGGAGAGCTAGAGAAATCATGGTCCCAAGGCACAATATGGCTGTCAACATTCTGAGCATCTTGCCGAGCCCTCTGAATTTTATTTCTGATGCATTATTTGGGTTACTGCCATTTGCTAGATAGCTAGACCTGATCAGTGTTATCTAACCTCAACAGAACAGGTTCTTCTTAATCTCACCTGTCAGTGTCAGCTAAGAAACTCCATAGTTGTGTAAGTCTGAGCTCTCTAGACAATTTTTTATTCCAGCATAATTCATGTCTTTGCCTTCTTTAAATTACTTCTTTCAATGAGAACAACAAAGAAAATACATGAAAAACTTAAAAAATTAACACTAAAATCTGCACTGGGGGGTGTGGTGGGGGAGGAGAGAGTAAAACAGGAAAAGAACTAATATTCACCGAGCAACTACTGTGAACCAGGTGCTATGATTCACTCTATAAATATAGTGGACACTTATGTCAATATTAATTATTTAAAAATACCAATAATGCATATCCATGTTTATTTACTTCAGATTCAGTTATTGAAACCCTTCAATGACTTCTGGTTTCAGCTGGAAGATGTAGAAAACTGGAAAGAACATCACTTCCATTCTTACAAATAGAAAAAAACTGGGAAAACTGCAAATTAATGGCCTTTCTTGAACCCATCAGATAACTGAGGTTGCAGGGCAAATAACCAACTCAAACCAGATGCCTACAGGAAGAAACAGGACTTGAGCATGGGGAAGAAGCTGGCAGGTACCCTATAAACCAGCAGGAAAATCAAACCAGAAATGTTCACAAATTACTAAAGGCTGAGCATGGGCCAGCTGGGAGAGTGAAGCCCCTGGGGACCATGGACTTGGGAAGGTGGTCCTACATCTTTGCTGAATTTTCCTCCAGGAACATCACCAGGTTCTAGCATGACAAAACTTCCAGTCCCTGTTTGCGTGGGACTGAAGGGGATCCTGAGATGTAGGATATGCAACTTCATAACCAGGACAAGGGCCGGCCCTATCAGGATTTCACAGGAAAGATTGTGGAGAATCTTGGGGAAACTCTCTATTCCTGGGGAGGAATGAGGGAAACGGAGGAAGGACAGCCAAAACTCATCCAAGCCCCTCTCCCCTTTCTCCCAAGCACTAATCCTACCATTATGTGTGTATAAATATGTACTTAAAAAAATCCACAGGTACTTTGTATCTCAGAAAACACCCTTACGAACAAACTTGCTGGAAGTGTTTCTCTGAACAAATTAAAATCAGTTCTCTCACAAGATAAATTCCTAACACAGAATATGAATAAACAATACTGCAATTATTATTATTATCTGAATTAATTAGTATTGCCTTAATTAGTTAATCACTATTACCTGAGTTAATCTTACTTCCCCTGGCTTTTTGCTGCTCTAAAATAGGCACAGAGAGCACAGATTTTTATCTAGCACCTCTCCCTCCTAAACTGCATTACTCAGCTAGGTTTCAATGAGTAATGCAAATTTTGAAGTTCAAAATTTTAAGAGGGGACTTCAAATTTGCACACATATTAAGATCAAATAACTACACGTCTAAGTTCCATACCCCCAAGAGTAGTCTTAATGATTCTGGTTCAGTGGAAAATGTCCTCATTATTTGTCTTCCTTTCCTTTCACTCATGACTCTGAATTGCAAGAAGGAATTAAGACATCATTTTTAAAAAATATGAAGAGAAATCACTGAAGGGAGAAAATACATGACATATATTTAAAATCAATTTATTGTTTTGTTCTTGGCATAGGCAGTGCATTTATCCTAAGTAATACTATCATCTATGTATTGAAGCTTGATTTCAGGTAGTCCTTCTTTCATTTAATGAAAATGAAATCTGTCTACTGATAGTGCTGTGCTGGATCTAATTGGACACATCTATTCCCTACTTTGTGGTCAGTGATGTCCTATTGGTGTTGCAGGACTTTTCCTTAGTTCAGCTAAATATGGGGTCCTTGTCTGTCCCATGACCATGAAAATTTAGGCTCACAGACAGTTTGAAGGGTGAGTAAAGTAGGATTTTATTGGATGAAAAGGAAAAAAAGGGGGAAACAGGGACTCTCCGCAAGGCCAGGGTCCCCTGCTAGAGTGCTTCCCGCCTCACAGTTTGAATCCCAGGTTTCAACACAGGAAGAGGAGGGACCAGGTTCTTCCCCACTGCAAACTGCATGAACTTCCCAAGGACCTACCCCAGTGTGCAGGCTGGTGGAGGGACCCCCTCCCACCTGGCTGTCTCACTGGCAGACTGAAATAGGCCAGGGCAGGAGTATTTACACCATGGAAATTAGAAAATGCTACACTTAGAAATGTTAACATGTAAATATTGTTTAAAGATACTCTCTAATAACAAATATTTACTGCATAGAAGGGAAGGAGCTGGTATTCCAAGCTCATGAAGGAGCCATAGAAAGTGAGGTGAACCTGAGGCTGTCACCACTGGAAGGTCGTTCTAGTGCCCTGCCATCATGGACATGTGCTGAACCACTTTCCAGAAGTATTTTCACCCTACTTAATGACCGGTCATAAGTTATCTCTCATGAACCAATTTTTTTCTCTGAAATATACTATATCCTAAAATAGTACACTTCTGGTATATTAAGGACTGTAGTGGGTTGAATTGTGGCCCCCAAAAAGATATGTCCACATTGAAATCCATGGAATCATTGAATGTATCCTTATTTGTAAAAAGGGTCTTTGAAGATGTAATTGATTAAAGGATTTGGCATGAGGTCATTCTGGATTACCCAGGTGAGCCCTAAATCCGATGACAAGTGTCCTTACAAAAGATAAAAGAGATGAAGACAGAGACAAAGAGAAGGCAGTGTGAAGACAAATGCAGAGAGTGGAGTGATGGGGCCACAAGCCAAGGAAGCTGAGGAGAGCATGGAGCCACCAGGAGCTGGAAGAGGCAAAGAAGAATTTTTCCTAGTGCCCAGAGGGGGCAATGGCCCTGCCAAAACTTTATTTCTAACTTCTGACCTTTAGAACTGTGAAAGAATAAGTTCCAGTTTTTCTAAGTGATTAATTTGTAGCAACTCATAATGGCAATCACAGATGCCAAAGGGGATTAAGACATTTTAATTATTTCTTTAAGGCACATGCTATCCAAGATCCACTAATTCAAAAGATATAATGGGTATGCAGTCTCTTTCATCTTCTATCTTTTCACTGATTTCCTCTGGAAAACAGTCCTCTCCCTCATCTGTTATCAATATGGGCATTTCCTGAGAAACTCACATTCAGTATCTGCTCTCTACTTCATCTTTCACATATGGCTGAAATGAATCATTTAATCTGGCATTCTCTCCACCCCCCTACTCAGCAAATGTTGGCTCTTTTCTAATTTGGGGTTTTCTCTGCAGCTAGCAGTGTGTGATCAATACAAAACTGTGACAATTTAAGCAAGAGGGAAATATCACTTTAAAGAGGAAATGCCAAACATTATCAAATAAAAGCTCAAGAAAAAGTGTGACATGAGCCAGCAGCCACAGAACTACAGCACTGTCAGGAGAACATGAAAAGGGAAAAACAAAAACAACTTTTTTTCTATATTTTGCATACAATGGAAGTGTCTACTTCTCCAGGCTCATCTCATGCCATTTTGTCCAGCATTCTCTATACTTCCAGGCACAGTAACTGTTCATATTCCTGGACACTTTCAGCTCAGATTTAGTTTAGACTGACTTGGCCATCATAGGATAGTATGAGTGGCTGTGAAATATCTCATACCTTTTAACCCCCAAATTCTACTTTTTGAATCTGTCTTAAGTTAATTATCAAAAATCCATCTTTAAGTTGTCACATTAAGATATTCATTTCCACAGAAAATAGAAAGGGATCTAAATAACCAACAAGAGGATACTGATTAAATAATTTCTAATACATGAATTTAGTAACTACTAAGTAGCCACTAAGATGGTATTTATGAAGGTCATGTAGCAACATAAAAGACATGCAAATTTTATATAATATAAAGACAAGACAATAGAATAGGTTATAGATTTGTAAGTAGTTTAACATATATATGCATATATAGAGAGAATATTAATTTTCTATTGCACTATAACTAATTAGCACAAGTTCAGTGGCTTAAAACAACACTCATTTATTAGTTCACAGTTCTGTAAGTTAGAAGTCCTGGGTTCAGCTGGGTTTTGTGCTTAGGGTCTCACAAGGCCAACGTCAAGATGTTGGCTGGGCTGGGTTCTTATTTAGAGAATCAGAGGATTAATTTACTTATAAGTTCATTCAGGTTGTTGGCAGAACTTAGTTCCTTGTGTCTCTATGGCTGAGCCCCCCATTTCCCTGCTGGTTATGGCTGGGGTCCTGCTCTTTATGGGCCACCCACATTTTTTCTCATGTGGGCCCCTCTATCTTCAAGCCAGCAATGGTGCCTGGAATCTTTCTGACGTTTCAAATCTCTCTGACTTCTCTTTCCTTCCTCTTCTGCCTTTCAAAGATCTCACATGACTAGATCTGGCTTGCCTAAATAATATCTGTATTTTAAGGCCAGTTGACTTGGGACTTAATTAGATCTGCAAAGTCCCTCCATAACAGCAATCCCAAGACTAGTGTCTAATGGAATAAGCAGAGATGGGAGTCTTAGTGGGGCCATCTTTAGAATTCCTTCTATCTATCTTCCTGTACAGGGAGGATGAATTGTACATGCAAAATTTGGTCTAGGTGTGCACAGCTTAGGAAACAATCAAGAAAAATGAAGTCAACCTATGTAATAGAAAAAATATAATGGAAAATCATATCTAATAAAGGGTTACATATATATGCTTGTGTATATACGTATCTCCACAGTACATAAGGATTTCATACAACTCAATAACAAAATACCACAAATAACTTGATTAAAAAAAAAAGAAGCAGAGGAGTTGATAGACATTTTTCCCAAAAAATACATACAGATGGCCAACAGGTATATGAAAAGGTGCTCAACATCATAAATCATCAGAAAAATACAAATCAAAACCATAATGAGATATCACAGGACACATATTAGGATGGCTATTACAGAAAAGACAAGAGATAACAAGTACTGGTGAAGGTGTCGAGAAAAGAGAACCCTTATACACTGTTGGTAGGAATGTCGATTGGTAGCCATTATAAAAAATAATATGATGTTTCCACCCAAAATTTTAGAAAGAGCTACCTTATGATCCAGCAATGCTGGGCTCACCTCCATGCTCTGTATCCATCCGTCTGTCTCACTCCTCCCTTTTGTTCAAGTCTATCAATTTGATGATGCCTTACTCTAGGTCTTCTTGATACTTCCACGGAAATATCTGTGGAATTTCTGAAGACATTAATAAGAACCAATGTAAGAATATACTTGAAGGTATTATGTAACTACTAAGTAATACTATTGTTATAGAACAGCACAATTATTAAATAATTATGGCTAATGGAAAAGGTCTCAGACCATTTAAGCCTAATATTTTTCTAATTTTTAAAAATTGGAAATGTGAGTTCCAGAAATAACAGATTAATGGACACCTCAGTCACAGGCGAAATATTAGAAGGAATTATGATACCCATGGTTTTTTTGGTCACTAAGGGTAGGAAATACGATCAATAGAAGCAATAAGAACAAGTCATTCCAAAGTAACCATAATTTTGATAGACTTTGTTAGCTTAGATTAGGGAAATGCTTTCAGCAAGGAACCAGACCAAAAAAAAATCTCATGGTAATTAGCATAGATGAGACTAAGAACTGTGAGTTGGATGATAATAAAGTAGGTAAATTCATAGCTGAATGAATAACTGCCTCCAAAAATCTTGATTAAAATAGAGGTCAGTTTGAAGAGAAGAGTCCACAGACAAGCCACAAGCTTACCATCAGTGCTGCTCCATTTAATACTTTTAATCAATGACTTAAGTAAATATTCAAAAGGCATTCTTATCAAATTTGTAAATTAAAATAGCTAGAAAAGCTAATTAAGACGATGATGGGCAGAGTAAAAATCAAGAAATCCCAGGAAACATAAAGTTTCAAGCTGAAATCAAGAAACTGAAATGAAATACAGCCAAATGTGAATGCTTTCACTCAGATTTATTTCACCATGGTGGCAACATAGCCTAACAAAAGTTCACATTAAAACAACAACAAGAATAGAGATTTATGTTGGCTGCATCTCCCATCTGAGCCACAGTCATGTGGATGCAAAAAATATTTGTTCAGGGTAGATTACAGATCATTCCAGTGCCAAGCAAGTAAATGTTCTTTCATTCCCTGAACTTACCGAACTACAGTTTGAAAGTTATTTTAGATTCTGTATACCATGTTTTGAGGGGAGAAATAAATAATCTGAAGGCTAGGCAAGGCAATTTTACCAGAAAGATAATGGTATGGAAACACAGGTATATATGGAACACACTTTAAAAAATAGAGCATTTGGTTTAGGAAAGACAATTAGAGAAACTATGTGATAGCTATGCCCCAAAACTTAATAGGCTTGCAGGTGGAAGAAGGGCAGGGCCCATCAGGTGTAAATTACAGGGAGCTTGATTTCAGCTAAGTAAGTATAGGGAAGAGCTTTCTAACCATTTGATTGGTCCAAAAATAGAATATGTTTCTTTGTGTAACAGTAAGATGCATCTTCCTGGAAGTTTTCAGGCAAATGCTGGATAATTCCCTTTGCAGTGTGTTATATATGGGATTCCTATATTTTGTAGGAGGTTGAATTCAGAAAAGAAAAATAATGCTGATGTATGCTATTGTCCTTATAATCCTCTTTTCTCTCCGTAACTGGATATGCACGCACATCTACAGTAAGCATGGACAGTGTATGTGTGGACAGACAGTGTCACTGAAAAAGAACAGGTGGCTAGACAAAAGACTTCACAAGTTGTGACAGATTGATGAAAATTTGTAAACAATGATTTCATATAGTGTGGGTACCTGAAATGCTGGGATGATAAAAAAAAGTGGTAGCATCACAAAAGGAATTGTTTGTTTCTAAAGGATGTTGGGTCAAGAGGGTTTTTTGTTAATAGATTATCTGTACTTTGCATGGGTATAGGAGTATACCCCAGTTATTACAGAATTCAAAACATGATGATGTAATCATGAAAGTCAGAGAGGGGTGGCTGATCCTGAGTCATGCCCACTGGTGGCTATTCTGCCTCTTTGATGCTAAAGTCAATTGCCCAAAAGGCTTAAGAAGAAATCTTTCTGATTTTGCATTTATTTTTCAGATCTCATAGCATTTTAGAGTCACATTTAACATAAGAAAGATTTGCAAGGGATGCCACCTTTGGATATAGAACAGGATTATGGTCTTACTAATTCTCTTTTTCTTTAAATTTGCTTACAACTTCGAATATGTGAAATAAACACTTTCATATCAATTTACATTTGAGGTTCACTAAAATTAAATCTATCATATTATTGATTGTAAAATATGACATCTATCATTTCTTAAACGTAAATGAAGACAAAAATATTTATTTTTTATCTTTTAAAAACTTCCATCTTCTGAAAAGTTTTCAATAGTAAGATGAATGCAAAGATAAGCAAAAAGAAACTGAAATCAATTTCAAGGTCACTCAACTTAAAACAGTAACTTTTCAGCAATGTGGAGTTCACCAACTTAGAATCATAATCATTCCAAGGTTAAGGTTCAATTTTGCATTATCTGAGAAGGTTCGGTTAAAACTTCAGAGTGTTATTGAAGACATAAATCCATTTTAAAATATTTAGACTTTATTTGCACTGGGAATACAGTACTAATTATAATAGAGATTTATGTCATTCATTACAATATTGATTTGTACTGTGTTGATATTGAAGGGGATAAGTAGCAGGAACTGATGAAATTTTGGAACTGGAAGAGAAAAATTAATTTTGAATAGTTTTTAGTCTTTGAAAACTGAGACCTGGAGAGGTCAAACCTCTGCTGTACCCCATGAACCTGGTTACTGGGGGAGCTAGATCTAAAAGCCAGGACTCCAGGTTCACCATCGAATGCTCTGTACATCACATGGAAGGGTAAATGAAATCCAAAGTACACTAAGTCAGGAAAAACTGCACTACAATGAGTGCTTGGCGTATACAACGAACCACATGAAGCTCTTGAGGGAGAAGTAAATACACCAAAAAGCATAGTGCTTTTCTTCCAGAAATGGATCATCTTAGCTCAGGAGACAAGCCTGCAAACCTAGAAATCAATACAAGATTTAAGTCACGGTTCAATATGTTCATACAGAAACTACATGACTAGTTTGCTCATTGATGTATGTACCAGAAATGTTTCAAGAATACTGAACAAAGTTGGCGAGGTGTAAGAATGCTCTTTGGGGGAAAGGGACGTTGAACTGGATCTTGGAGAATGGGTGGAATCATGGAAGATGACATCATAGGAAGATGAATCTGTATGAGTAAATATAAATCACATTCACATCTGTAAAGTATTCCCAAAATACACGAGTGTGTTATCATTTCTATTTGGTAAGAGTAATTTTTGTTTGGGAGAGCAATTACATGTTTATCATCTATCCTTGCTGAGTTCAGCGAGGGAAAAAGAAACAAACTGGGAACTATTAGTTGCATGCTTTACTCATTTTTTTTCTTACCCTTATGTCCTTTCTTTCCGCAAAGGAATTGAAGCAGCATGTGAAAAGCTAGATAAAGATTGTATAAAATTAATTACTAAGGGAAAATAATAAATGCAGGAGTAAATGTAAGACTACCCAACAGAAAAGCACAGTATACAAGGCCATTCATCAGAGTCACAGATCCAGCTAAAAAAGATGCTTATCCGTTAGGGAAAAACAGATCTATAATTCAGGAGAGGGCATTTGTCCTTGTGTTTGCATAGAGAAATCACCTGATGATGGACTAGGTGATGGCCTTACCATCTCTAAACCTATAACTCTAATGAGTAATTCACATGAATATTTCTTATAATGCTTCTCAGCGCAGGACAAGAACATTAGCTGGAGCACAGCCTGCTAAAAGCAATTTTATGAAGGATGCCAAACAGTGTGCCTTGCATGCCCCAGATCTCTGGTGATCTGGACATCTTGATACAAGAGTAAAATTTATAACACCTACAAGAGGGGAGAACTACACATTCTTCAGTCTGTGCTCATTCATTCCTGCCACAAATTTAATTGAGCAGTTATTATGTGATGGTCACTAGGCAGATCGCAGTAAATTATATTCTATTGCAGGGATGAATAAAGCAAATGAGTAAGTGCTATATGATGAATGCTGTGAAAAAATCTAAACCAGGAGGTGGTGTTGCTATTCTGGAATGAGTCTTTATAAAAGCACTTTTACATATGATAATACTTGAGTAGGGACATGAATGAAATGAGGAAGGAAGGTATAGGGATATTTGGGATAAAAGTGAGCATAGAAAACAGCACAAAACCCTAAATAATGGTCTACTGAAATAATAGCAGGAAGACCAGTAGGCTAACCTCTTTATAAATCTTACGTCTCAAAACTGGGTTTTGATGAGAATTTCACAGAAGAGAGTTCCAAGGATGTAGTCTCTGGTGAGAACATGTACTGGAAATCTGCTCAGCTGCAAACTAAGGAACATGTCATGTTCTTGAATATCAGCCAGGTAGAGGGCAGGGTAAGAGTCCTTTTTGAAAATAAAAGAAGGCCAGGTGGGCCTGGAGACGCTCACAAAAGTGATAGATATTGGACAGAACCAATATCATCTGCAAAGAGCAGTTGTGTGTCTACTTCAATACACTGGCAAATGGGTGCAGGAGACCCAGTGGTGTATACCACAGAGCACAGCTGACCTTATTTTAGTTAAGATATATTTTTAAAACACCCTCCTGCTTTAAAATCCCATACCACAGCCATGGAAAAGTCTCCTAAAATATCCATAGACTGTCCCAATTTCTTCCAGGATTAACTGACTACATATTATAGTCTTATGTAACTGACCTACTGCATAGAACCATTTACTAGCTATGAGCTGATTGAATGCTGTGGGGCATCTGTCAAAAAGTTGAGTTCGATTTTAAAGTTATTATCTCTGGCAAAAAAAAAAATCATAGGATCTCTTGTCTATTTGGGGTACTTCTTACTATTATCAAAACTATGTAATTGTTTTAGAGAAGATGATTTATATTTTTAATCTCAGTAGCAGGGGACATGCATCTAGAATATTGAAAAACAGCGTCAAATCATTTACATAAAAGTAAAAAAGGAGGAGAAGTAAACCACACGTGTAGGGGGCCATTAGAAATATTATCTCTTAGGAGGCCATCATCACAACCTTCCATGATCCTCTAAGAGGCATTAAGGTGCAAATTTTATAAGAATATAAAATTCGATCCATTTGAGTTGTGAGGTAACCAATTCCTAAGCAAAGCCTGAAGAAAGATTAATAAAAGCTGCAAGCAATCACAGCTTTTATTGTTCATGAAATACTTTTCCCCAAGATGATAGAGAATATATCAATAAAATGAATTATCCTGACCTAAAACTCACCTACTCTAGAGTGGGAAATATTTGTGTAAGAAATCTAGACTTATAATTTTTATCAAAAGCAAATGATCATGGTGATTAGTGTCAGTTAAGAGCCTCCAAATTAAAGCCATTATATGAAAATGTGTATTTACAGAAATCTTAATTTATACATTTTATAAATCATCACTTATAAAAATTGACAATAAATTAAGAAAATTGTGTGAAATTAAATGGAAACAATTACCTGCTCATCAATAAAGCAGCAGAGCTTGAATACCCATATGCAAACTCTGGACCATATTTAATTAAACACTTTAGTAAGGTGTCTTGGTCTATTTGCACTGCTATAACAGAATATCACAGACAGGGTAATTTATAAAGAGGAGAAATTTATTTCTCACCGTTCTGGAAACTAGCAAGTCCAAGATCAAAGCACTGGCAGGTTTGGTTGTCTAGTGAGGGCTGCATCCTCTGGAGGGGGAGAATACTGTGTCCTCACATGGCAGAGGAGCAGAAGAGCAACCTAACTGAACCCTGTGTGAAGGCTCTTTCATAAGGGCCTTCAATCGCATTCACAAGGGAGGAGCCCTCATCACCTCATCACCTCTTAACAGCCCTACTTCTTAATACTATCCCATTGGCAACACCTGAATTTTGGAGGGGAGCCACTGAAACCATAGCAATAAGCTATCACCTTTCTGCTATGGTTTCAGTGTCTTTTCCTGAGATCTGTAGATTATTAACAACACTTCATCTAAATACTAAGATGTTTTCTCCTGAGATCTGTATATTATTAATAACACTTTGTCTAAATACTTTGAATAGGCTTCAATACTTCATTGCTTTTCTTTAAGGCTAGTGATTTACTATGAATTTCCCCTGAAGTCAATTAAACCAGGCTTTCTCAAGGGGCCAACAAATTCTCTCCCTCTGAATGTTCAGTAGAAAGAGATTTTAAGATTCAAGTGAGGCTGCAGGTAATTCTCCAGTTTTTCTACTGCATTTCTGCTATGCTATTTGGGAATATTGTTTGGTATTATACAAGTTATTCACAAGAGTTTCACCTGACCTTCAGCAGAGCATCTTCCAGGGGCAATACCGGTGTCCTCCAGGCCGGTTCCACAATGCTCTGGAAGATGGTTGGGACCCTAAGGCCGTAATCACACCACTGCAGGCTGTACTCCAAGGGTGCAAAGACACCTGCCAGGGACATGACTGGCCATGTATCAAGGATGGATAAATTTCATGCACAATTTATGAAACGTGAGGCATGTGCAACATCAGCAGAAAAGAAAGATCAGCTATTCTAATGCTGTATTTTTGTTGGAAGAAGCTACCTCTGTCTCCCACTGCTGGCTCAGAGGAACCTGGCCCAAGTCCTAGAAGTGACCACTTTCTTGATGAAGATTTTCTTTTGTTGGTGCTGCAGGGAGCCATTATCCAGGTATTAATAATTGTCTTTACAGCCAAAACATACAGACATTGGTTTCCTAGGCTATTAATTGAACCTCACAAATGCTGCTTGAGCCCCTGCTCAGTGCTGGGCACTGTCGTTGGCATGTAGGGGAGTGAAGGGTGGAGCCCTCTGAACAACAGAGAGCATCTAACCTGGGCTTACTATTTACAGTAAGCAATCATTTACTGAGCATCACTCTGCACAAAGCATGTGCCTACATTGTTACGTCAAGCTATTCGTTTAACTCTCACAAGATCTCATGAGCTGAGTATTACCATCCTGTTGCTATTACGCCCCTTTTCCCCGTGAGATGCTTTGGACTTGGGAAAGTGAAGTGGCATGTATGGTCACATGGCAGTCCTGACTCTGGGTGCAGTGTCTGCATCCCCTGTACCCTTTCATTCTTAACAAACACTTTCTTCTCCCAGCACCTTCACTGCACAGAATGCAGCTCATCAACGTCCATCTTGGCATCACCTGGAGCTTGTTACAAATAAAGGGTCTTCTCAAGGATCTAGAACCAGAAATACCATTTGACCCAGCAATCCCATTACTGGGTATATACCCAAAGGATTATAAATCATTCTACTATAAAGACACATGCACACGTATGTTTATTGCAGCACTGTTCACAATAGCAAAGACTTGGAACCAACCAAAATGCCCATCAGTGATAGACTGGCTAAAGAAAATGTGGCACATATACACCATGGAACACTATGCAGCCATAAAAAACGATGAGTTCATGTCCTCTGCAGGGACATGGATGAAGCTGGAAACCATCATTCCCAGCAAACTAACACAAGAACAGAAAACCAAACACCGCATGTTCTCACTTATCAGTGGGAGCTGAACAATGAGAACACATGGACACAGGGAGGGGAACATCACACACCAGGGCCTGTTGGGGGGTCGGGGGCAAGGGGAGGGAGAGCATTAGGACAAATACCTAATGTAGATGACGGGTTGATGGATGAAGCAAACCACCATGGCACATGTTTACCTATGTAACAAACCTGCACGTTCTGCGCATATATCCCAGAACATAATGGAAAAAAAAAAAATACAGGGTCTCAGGCTTCACCCAGACTCACTGACAGACTCTGTACTTTTATTTATTTATTTATTTATTTATTTATTTATTTATTTATTTATTTTTGAGATGGCGTCTAGCTCTGTCGCTCATGCTGGGGTGTAGTGGCACCATCTCGGCTCAGTGCCAGCTCTGCCTCCTGGGTTCAAGTGATTTTCCTGCCTCAGCCTCCCAGGTAGCTGGGGTTACAGGTGCGTGCCACCATGCCTGGCTAATTTTTTTTTTCTATTTTTAGTAGAGATGGGGTTTCACCGTGTTAGCCAGGATGGTCTTGATCTCCTGACCTCGTGATCCACCCGCCTTGGCCTCCCAAAGTGCTGGGATTACAGGCGTGAGTCACCATGCCCGGCCCAGACTCTAACAAGATCCCAGCAGGTTGTCTGCCTGCTGGATTTCAGTGGAACCACTCCATGAATGATCAAAGCAGCAGAGAGCAGCACCTGCTACAAAAGCCCCACCTCTCCCTTCTTTGCAGGATGAAATTCTGTAGAGAGAAAGCTCATTTTGACCCATATATTTTTGTTCTTTAGTGCCCTCATTACAAGGTGATTGCATGTAGAAGTCAGTTTGCTCTCACAGACCTTGGAAAAAATTGTATTTCCCATAAACAGACTTTAGATGTAATGATTCATTTTAGCAAACATTTATCATGTCTTCTGTGCCAGGCACAGTGTGAGGTGCAGGCCTTAGTGATTTCCCAAAGGAAGTGGCCAAACATGCTACTCCCTGCTTATTGGGATTCAGCCAATTCCTGGTCTTAAAGTTGTTTGTTTATAAGAAAATTGTATCTGCAGTTCCCTTAATGCTGCTTTCTTGTCAATTCATTCATTAGTTAACAGACATTTAAAGAATGTGTGCAAGACACTACAGAAGTCTTTTTTGTTTATACATAATCAGCTTTTACATTAAAGTATACCCTGAAGTAATTCTTCAATGAGCACATATTTTTAAAATGAAGTTTTTTGTTGTTATTGTTGTTTGAGTTCTGGCAATTTTATTATGAATTTTATGGCTAAGAGAGTTCTTCCAGTTTAAGTATTTTGAAACTTTTAACCAATTTCTTCCTTGAAAATCTGTCTCAAAGAAGAGTAAACTTAGAAATCAAATGATGAGGCCAGGCACGAAGGCTTACACCTGTAATCCCAGCACTTTGGCAGGCCAAGGCAGGTGGATCACGAGTTCAGGAGTTTGAGACCAGCCTGGCCAACATGGTGAAACCCTGTCTCTACTAAAAATACAAAAATTAGCTGGGCTTGGTGGTGCACACTTGCAATCCTAGCTACTGGGGAGGCTGGGGAAGGAGAATGGCTTGAACCCAGGAGGCACAAACATACACTGAAAACATGATGCTAATGGCTCTTGCAGTGAGCTGACATCGTGCCACTGCACTCCAGCCTGGATAACAGAGCAAGACTCCATCTCAGAAAAAAAAAAAAAAAAAAGAAAAAGAAAAAGAAAAACAAACAAATGCTGAAACTTTGTAGGATTTATTGGCTCCACAGCAATTTAACTTGAAAGATTTTCAAATTCAGCAGAAAAATAGAAAAGACAGCAATTTGATAGTGTTTAATTTATTTGATTTTATCCAAGGACTGACCTCTTACATAACAAGCCTGTTAGAGTACCTGGCATTTCACAGGGGTGATGAATTTAAATATTTCAGATCCCCATTAAACATTTATTTGTCATATCAAGATGTATTTTCAAAGTCACTCACTGGACACTCTATTTCTTTGGGGGAATCTGTACCTCTAAAAAGCCCATGAAGGACAGATTCACTACAAATAAAAGCATCCCATCACGTAACTTAATTTGGCCTTGGAGTGTTACAGAATGCCAAGCCTTCAGGTACAGAGAATATTTCCTCTTAGATCTACATTGCAGACTGACTCTATGTTGGCTTGGGAGCTTTTGTGGAGTCAATAGATACTGAAGACCAACAAATTTGGTTCACACCACTTTGAAAGATGTTAAAAAAAAATTTTCTAAAGAAGTCATCCATCCCAAGAGGCGTGTTGATGGTAATTGATTATCTTTTAATCAAATGTTTTTAGGTATATTTACAGACAATAAATGTGTGCAATTCTGTATACAGTTCCATGAGTTTTCATAAATAGATATATACCCATGTAACCGTCACCTCAATCATTCCCATCACCCCAGAAATTTACTTATTTACTGTCCATTTTCTTTCTCCCAGATACCATGCTTAGTGATCTATAATGTGTCACAATTCTCATTAAACACTTTGAAATAGACAATAGTACTTCCTTTCCAAAATAAAAAACGAAATGGTTAGGGAGATCATAGCATTTGCCCAGTCGCTGAGCTACTTACTCAGTGACAACACTGAAATGCCTGACTCCAGTTCCTTAATCAGACCTGATCATATTAACCTATTACAACTCCTTGACCCCAGTGATCTGCGCATAGTGGCAAGTCAACAAATGTTTGCTAAATAGATAAAAAAGAGTGTTACAATTTTGTATATTTCTAACTCTTAGTATATCTCCCTATATAAGTTATCCTGTTTTCAAATGATGTTGGTGAACATTTTAGGTACTTTGTTCATGTGTCTGGATTGGTGTAGCCTTGCAAATCGCAGAGACATGTTCCTAAAGAAAGCAAAGTAATCCCTACTTCACTTGGAATAATAAGAAACTAAAAATTAGAACCTCCAATTATTGAGCATTTACTACTTGCCAGGCTCTGCTGTTTACCCTATTCCCATTTAGTGTTCAAGAGCACAGTCTCTAAATCCTGACTTCTTGGGTTCAAATCCCAACTCTCCTTCTTATTAGCTGTGTTTTTCAGGTATATTATTTTAGATTCATATGTTTCAGTTTCTGTATCTTTGAAATGGGGTAATAATAGTACCTACATAATTCATGAGAATTAAGCAGTTGGAAATGCTTAGAAAAGTGCCTGGCATACACTTCTCAAAAGAAGACATTTATGCAGCCAAAAAAACACATGAGAAAATGCTCAACATCACCGGCCATCAGAGAAATGCAAATCAAAACCACAATGAGATACCATCTCACACCAGTCAGAATGGCAATCATTAAAAAGTCAGGAAACAACAGGTGCTGGAGAGGATGTGGAGAAATAGGAACACTTTTACACTGTTGGTGGGACTGTAAACTAGTTCAACCATTGTGGAAGTCAGTGTGGCCATTCCTCAGGGATCTAGAACTAGAAATACCATTTGACCCAGCCATCCCATTACTGGGTATATACCCAAAGGAGTATAAATCATGCTGCTATAAAGACACATGCACACGTATGTTTATTGCAGCACTATTCACAATAGCAAAGACTTGGAACCGACCCAAATGTCCAACAATGATAGACTGGATTAAGAAAATGTGGCACATATACCATGGAATACTATGCAGCCATAAAAATGATGAGTTCACGTCCTTTGTAGGGACATGGATGAAATTGGAAATCATCATTCTCAGTAAACTATCTCAAGAACAAAAAACCAAACACCGCATATTCTCACTCATAGGTGGGAATTGAACAATGAGAACATATGGGCACAGGAAGGGGAACATCACACTCTGGAGACTGTTGTTGGGTGGGGGGAGGGGGGAGGGAGAGCATTGGGAGATATACCTAATGCTAGATGACGAGTTAGTGGGTGCAGCGCACCAGCATGTCACATGTATACATGTGTAACTAACCTGCACATTGTGCACATGTACCCTAAAACTTAAAGTATAATAATACAAAAAAAAAAAAAAGAAAAGTGCCTGGCATATATGAGGCAATTTGGGGGTTGGAGGGGGAGTTACTATTATCTATCTCATTGAAACATTTTAAAAATTTCAATTAAAACCTATCTTTCCACTTTTAAAATTACATTCCAAAATCAAGGAAGATATTGTGGTTCATACTGCCCCACAGAAAATTTAAGTAACACTTCAGAATAGTTTTTCCCTGTGTAAGAATTTTCAAATATCTGAACAGACTTTTGACAGAATCTTCATATTATATCCACGTATAAAATACATGTAGAAACCACAGAATTGCAATAAATGTAAAATAACACCACTAACAAACTAGAGTCATTAACTGTGGAAACCCCATTCTCAAGTAAACACTGAGGTGAGGGAGTCTAAATGGCAAACCAATAGCTCACAGTCCACTCAGCTGACATTAGAGTCAGGCAAAGATGTGAACCTGCATTTTGTAGAGTGAATATTTAGCTAAGAAAAAAATAAACAGGATGGTGAAAGACTGAACATTTTTCCCCTAATATCTGTTCTCGCCACTTCTAGTCAACATTTTATTGCAGGTAACAGCCAGGGCAATTAGGTAATAAAATAAAATAAAATGCATTTGGATTGGAAATGAAGAAGTAAAACTATCTGTATTGTAATATCTGGTAGATAGAAAATCCTATGAAATCCTCTAAAACTATTAGAACTAATAAATGAGTTCAGCAAGTTTGCACCATACCAATATCAATGTACAAAAATGAATTGTTTTTCTATACAGTATCAATAAGCAAACTTGCAATGAAATTAAGAAAACAACACCATTTAGAATGGCATCAGAAAGGATTAAATACTTAGGGGTAAACATAACAAAAGACATGTTAAACTCATATTCTGAAAATTCCAAAACAACATTGTTAAAAGAAATTACTGAAGACCTAAATAAATAAAAAGAGATTCAATGTTCATAGATCAAAAGATTCAATATTGTTACAATGAAAATATTCCCAAAATTAATGTACAGATTCAATGCAATCTTTATCAAAATATTGGCTGAATTCTTTGCTTGAACTGACAAACTGAAACTAAAATGTATATGGAAATTCAAGAGACCTAAGGTAGCCAAAATAATCATAAGCAGGAAGGACAAAGTTGGAGAACTCACACTTTCCAAATTCAAAACTTACTAAAAAGCAACACTAATCAAGACAAAGTGGTACTGGCATATGAGTAGACATGTAAATCAGTGGAATGGAATAGAGAATCCTCTAATAAACTCTCACATTTACAATTAATTGCTTTTTGACAAAGTTGCCAAGGCAAGTACATGGGGAAAGAATAATCTTTTCAACAAGTGATGTTGGGATAGCTGGATAGCCTATGCAAGAAAATGAAGTCAGACCCTTACCTCACACCTCACACCATATTCACAAATTAACTCAAAACAAATCAAAGACTTAAATGTGAAAGCTAAATATACAAAACTATTAGAAAAACATAAGTATAAGTCTTCATGATCTCAGATTTGGCAGTGGTTTCCTAAATATAACACCAAAAGCATAAGCATCCAAAGAAATATAAATAAATTAGACTTCACAATCAAAACTTTTGTACTTTAATGAACACTACCAAGGAAGTACAAAGACAACTCACAGAATGGGATAAAAGTTTTGAAAATTATATATCTAATAAGGGACTTATATCTAGCATATATAAAGACCTTTTATAACTCAATAAGAGGAGACAAGGAACCCAATTAAAATATCTGAATAGGATCCTGCATAAGCAAAGGGTATGACTAGATATTTTCCCAAAGAAGACATATGAAGAGCCAATAAGTACATGAAAGAATGCCAAACATTATTAGTCAATAGGGAAATGCAAATCAAAATTGTGATGAAATACCTCTTCAAACACACTAAGATGGTTATAATGAAAAAGTCATATAATGACAAGTGTTGTTGAGGATATGGAGAAATCTAACCCTCAAACACTGTTGGTGGGAATGTAAAATGGTATGGCCTCTTTGGAAAGCAATGGCAGTCTCTCAAAAAGTTAAACATAGACTTATTTCACCCAAAAATTCTACTCCTACATACCCCAAGAAAACGGAAAGCATACATCCATACAAAACTTTGTCTATGAATGCTCATAGAAGCATGATTAATAATAGTCAAAAGGTGAAAGTAACCCAAATATCCAGTATATCCATACAATGAAATATGATATGGCAATAAAAAGCAATGGAGTGTCAGTATTCATGCTACAGCACAAACATACACTGAAAACATGATGCTAAGTGATAGAAGCCAGTCATAAAGGACCACCCGTTGTAAGATTCCATTGATAAGAAATGTGCAGAATATATAAACCTATAGACACAGAACATAGATTTGTGGTTGCCTAGGGCTAGGAAGGATGGGGGGACAATGGAGAGTGATAGCTAACAGGTATGGTGTTTTTTTCCTGGGGTACCAAAAATATTCTAAAATAGATAGATAGTGGCAATAATTGCACAGTTCTATGAATATACTAACATTACTGAATTTTATACTTTAAATGAAAGAATTGTGTGGTATGCAAATTATATCTCAAATAACTTCTACAAGAATCAGAAACATAAGGGCACAGTAAGTTTAAAACTAAAAGAACAGGAAATTATATATTTTACAAGCTGGAACCCAAAGAAAGATGGCCTGGCTACACTACAATCAGGCAGTAAACTTTAAGGCAATGTATATTACCATCAATAAAGAAGGACATTTAAGTATGATAAAGAGGTCTATCTACTGATGATATCATAATTTTAATTTGCACAAAACCAGTAATAATAGCTTCAAAATATATAAAGGAAAAATTGATTAAAAAAATAGAAAGTGATGCCTCACACCAAAAACAGAAATCTTTAATACTCACAATAGCTAATAGAATGAGCTCATGCACACACACAATCAGGAAGTATACAGATAATTGGAATACCACAATTAACAAACGTACCTAACTGACGTTAGAGAACACCCTTGCCAACAATGACTGAAAATACTCTTTTCCAGTGCATAATAAAACACCTAGCAAAACTGTCCACATGCCAGTCCATAACGTAAACATCAACACATCTCAGAAGATTAAAATCAATCAGAGTATGTTTTTTGATCACAGTGGAATTAGACTGCATATTATTAACAGAATAATAATTAGAAAATCTCCAACTGATTGGAAGTTAAAAGCACATGTCTACATTTCATCATTAGTTCAAGTAAGAATCATGTTGGAAATTAGAAAATACTTTAAAGGAAGTGAAAATGAAGATGCAACATACTAAAATTGTTAAAGTGTAGCTAAAGAAGTGCTTAGAGTGAAATTTTAGTATTAAATGCATGTTAGAAAAGACAAAAGACTAAATTGGTGATTTGAAATTCCGTTTCAAGAAAATAAAAAAGATACAGCAAATCAAGCCCAAAGAAAGTAGACAAAGAGTAATAATAATAATAAATAAAATAAGAAATAACAATAATAATTCCTCTATCCTAGAAATGTATTTTAAAAGGCTGTATGTAAAATGGTTGGCACAGTGCCAGAAGCATAGTTAGGCTGCAATACACATTAGTTAGTTATTTTTATTACCAGCACAGCAACAAGAAAAATGGAAAGATCCATCTCATTTCTCTTCAGGGGCAACATGTGCTTTTGACAGTGTCTGTTTTCGTTGTGATATCCTCTTCCTAGTGGAAAATCAGCTCACAGAGCTTCTGGTGGAAATTTTAAGTGAGCATGGGAAGGAACAAGTGGAACTAACATTTATTGCCTCCTTCTATGTGCCAGACACTCTGCTAGGCACACTGCTCATGTTCTTTTATTCCACCCTTACAAGAACCTAGAGAGGTAGAGATTCATCAGCACATTTCACTTTGGCCACTGAGGCTTCTAGAGGTGAAGCATCTAACCCATCATTCAGCTGGTGAGGGCAGAGGCCGGATTTAGCCATCCGCCTGAGCTTAAACCCAGGGACATGCATGAAACTGAATCATCAAAGTATCCCTTTAGCTATGAGGTAAATGAATCCTGGCTAAATCAGTATATTCTTAGCTGCCTTCCCTTTTGGGTCCCAACCTGGGAGCATTGTTTTTATGCTTCCCTCAATCCCAAAAGCATTTAACATATATATTTGTGTGCATTTTGGAGTGACGTTGGCTTGGGACTAATCTTCCTCCAGCCCACCTCCAGACACTCACAGCAGCAGAGAACTGGCCCTTCATATGCAGGAGCAAGGCACAGTGTGGAAGGTGTCCTGCTGCCTGGGTGCAGAGCAGTGACCTCACCCAGCTGATGATAAAGGTATGAAGAGTCATTCCAATAGAGCAGGAGTGAAGGGGAGACACTCAGGACTAACGTTTCCTCAGGACCTACTCTGTTCCAGGCCACATGTGAGGTCTGTGTGTGAGCTGCATCTCCATGTCTGCTTCTCTATGACTAGACAGGGTCAGAACTTTCCATCTTTCCATTCCTCAGTTTCCAACTGGGGGGAGAGATGTTAAAGGTGGCTGAAGTTTGACTACGCACACAACATAGAGTGAGCACCCCACATCCTCCCATTGTTGCTACAGTGACCCGAATCTGATACTGTAATCCACTGGGGGTGGGAGGGCATGCAGGTAATCGATCACTTAATGGTAATTATAGTAAGTGTGATCTTCAGATTGAAAAAACAGAATTGTTCTTCAACACCACATAGTATGAATCTGTCCCCATACAGTTCTGTGTGGCTTCTGTAAAAGGTCAAAAGCTATAAAAAGCCAATAAACTGGATGCTATATTTCCATTGCATTGGCCAGAGATGTGATACACAGCCTATTATCCATTTTTTCTTTCTGTATGAAGAACGCATTCAGACTATATAGTAGAGTTATTAGAGAAAACGGATGCTTTAAGAAGATACCCTTCATCAGACTGTTTAGAATTTAAATCTCAAAATTTGGTATTTTAGAAAAGTACTAATATCTAATTTAATCAATAAGTTCATCTGTCAGACAAAAGAAAGCAATAATCTTTTTTGATTGAAAGCGACTTTGTTTTGTGATCCAGCCCCTCCTTCTACCACAAAAGAAAGACAACCAAGATGTAGTAATCTAGAGGGCTTCCCAGCATGCCAGGGTTGCTGCTGCCAAGCCCATGACCAAATCCTTTTATTTCTGCTACTGGCATTTCCTAAATTCTCCCCAAATGTCAATATTTTTACAAAACAAGCTATGTGCTGTCACTTTAAATAAATGTGTTAACAGCCTTAAATAGAAAGCTAAACACTTTATCTAAATTGATAAACTAACAAGTCATCATAACCAAAAGAAAATGTGAAGAAGCTGCTTTTGCTAAATTTCTTGTTCTTAAGACAGAGCCAGGGAACTGAGATGGTGCAAATGCTTTTAGTCATTCAACACATGAGAAAGAAGATTCACTGCTGATAACCAAAGGCAAAATTCCCTCTGAAACCCTCTGAAATATTTACTGGAAAAATTTGCACCGTGTGATCATAATCTAATTTCTAGTAATTGCTCCTTCTATAAAATCTATGATGGAGCTGTTCCTGGTCCCAGTACCCAGCTTTCAGAGATGTGACCTTTTGGAAGTCTCTGGGGGAAACACAGAGAGTGGGATGTAGAGGGTTGCTAGCAAAACATTGGGAAATATTTTATTTATGTCATGATAGACATTTGGATTCATGGGACCAAGAGCATGATTATTTCTCACCTAACCAAAGGTGGACAATCAGAACAGAATTTTTATACGAAAGAAAAATTTATCTTGCCATTGCAACATTTCCCAGTGCCATGGTTCCCCCCCACCACCTCCTCTCATCACCAAGGCAACCAGAGTTATTATGGAAAGTCAGCCAGCCACTGTGCCCTTGGCTCACATTTCCACAGAGAAGTTTTTTTTTTTTTTTTCCTTCGTTAGCTCTTAGCATCTTGATACACTGTCTGTTATCAAGCATAAAATGATCAGGAGAATCCTACTTAGTAGTGTTTCTCAGAATGTAGTCTCAACCCCACTTACATCAGCATCATGTGTGAGGCTTACGAATGCTGATCCCCAGATCCCTTCCCCAGACCCGTTATATCATTGAGGGGCCTAGGGATATGCATTGTAACAGGCACTCCAAGTGATACTTAAGGCTCTAAAATGTAATAACTGCTGATATAAGGGAAAGGTCATAGAGGATTATAATTCCTTACCTATTCATGCTGTTTAACTGATAAGGAAATGCAGCTTTCTAGAGGGAAATCACATTGCTTTATGCCGGAGCAATTTATACTTTTAACCGCTTGTCTTGTTGAACCAGGATCCCTGGTTCCACCCAGTGCCAACTGAACACTCTTAACAAAAGTCCTGAGAGTCATTAGTGTGTTGTCCTCGATACCACATAGGGCAGAGATTAAAAAGCACATTTCACTTCAGCCACTGAGGTTCCTAGAGGTGAAGCATTTAACCCGTCATTCAGCTATGAGGGCAGATCCAGGATTTAGACAGCCACCACCCTAAGTCTAAACCTAGGGACATGCACTAAACTGCATCATCAAAGCATCCATTTAGCTGTGGGGTAAATGCAACCTGGCTAAATTGGGATATTCCTAACTGCCTTCTCATCCAGGTCCCAATGTCAGAGCATTGCTTTTATGCTTTTCCTCAGCCCTGAAAGAACGTAGCACATATATTTGCACACACTTTCAAGTGGCCCTGGCTTGGGACTTGTTTTTTCTCAGCTCACCTCACACACTCCTGGCACAGAACTGGCCACACATATGCAGAAGCAAGGAACAAGGACAGGTGTCCTGCTGCCTGAATGCAGAGCAGTGACCACACTGAGCTGATGATAAAGAAATCAAGAGCTATTCCAAAAGGAGTGAAGGAGAGGGACTCAAGAATAACATATCCTCAGGACCTACTCTACACCATGAATCATCAACGATTCAGGGCATTCTTTTCTCTGACTTCAGACCAAAGTGGGCCTGTGGCTGACTGGACAGAGTACGTACTGAAGTGTTATGTACTTGTATAGCCATTCAACCATTTTTATTGTATTTATTTTTTTCAATACATATGGCCTAGAGATTTCAGATGTTATTAATACGGAAAAACGACCATTAGACTTTGTTACCTATAACATTTACCTGGCCAATTAAGACAGTATTTTAGTTTACTACATTTTCTTTCTGACATCTGCTAATCCAGTTCAAATAGTTAATATGATACTCCTTACAGATGGAGTCTAAAACCATATTTGGCTTCTGGTTTTCTTTAATTATTTATTACATAGTCAAAATAAATGCATTAGGAAGTTTTAATGCAATCTGATACTATCCCAGAGGTGATCTGTATTGTCACAGTGAACAGTCATTCATATTATTAAGAAATTGCATAATCTTTTTCTGAAATTAAAAAAAAATTACAGGTACATAGTAGGTATATATTTTTATGGGGTACACGAAATACTTCGATACAGACCTGCAATAAGTAATAATCACATCATTTTATATGATTTTGAAATATCCTTTCTCCTTTTACATTTAAGTAACCCTTGAAAAACTAGTCCAAGAAGCTTGCTTATCTCCCTAAAATAGAGGTTCCAAATGGCTCCTGTGTTTTCTTTTTTGAAAAAACAGCTTTATTGAGATATAGTTCACATACCATACACTCACCCCTTTGAAGTGTAAAATTCAGTGGCTGTCAGTATATCCACAGAATTGTGCAACTGTTACCACAATTTTAGATTATTTTCATTAACCTCCAAAGCCCTGCAGCCCTTAGATGTCACGCCCCAATTATCCTTCCCCTACCCTCTCTGCCTGGGTAGCAACTCCTCTACTTTCTGTCTCTAGAGATTTGCCTGTTCTAGATTTTTCATGTAAATGGGATCTTGCAATATGTGATACTTTGTGACTGGCTTCTGTCACTTCACATCATGTTTTCAGTGCCTATTCACGTGGTGACATGTATAATAATAGTCCACTTGTATTTATTACTGAATCATATTTTATTACTGCATCGCATTCCCTTGTATGTATACACCACACAGACTCTTTGTCTATTCATCAGTTGATGGGACATTTGGGTTGTTTCTACCATTTGCATATTATGAATAATGCTTCTTTAAGGGTTTGTGAACAAGTTTTTGGGTGGATATATAGAAAAATAAGCATTCTTGTTCTTTTATAGATAAGTCAGGTTTACAGAGAAACTTGAATATGAGGAAATTAAAAAGATTTAAATGAAACACATTTTAGATGACCCAGAAGAGTTCCCACTTTAACCAAATTCTTCAATGATTTCCTTTGTATTCCCTCAAGTTGTATTTAGGTAGATTTGTTTTTCCACTGCCAAGTATTCGGTTTGGCCGGAGGGCTGGGTTTATGCGGTTTCAGAGTGTAGTGAAAACATAGCCACAGAAAGTGGCTGGATTATTGAAATCCTTAAACGCTAAGGCTTTTTTTCTTTCTTTATTATTATTATTATTTTTTTGGCAAGGTCTTGCTCTGTCACACAGGCTGGAGTGCAATGGTGCTATCTCAGCTCACTTCAACCTCCATCTCCTGGATTCAAGCGATTCTACTGCCTCAGCCTCCCAGGTAGCTGGGACTACAGGTGCACTCCACCACACCCGGCTAATTTTTATGTTGTATTTTTAGCAGAGACGGGATTTCACCATGTTGGCCAGGCTGGTCACAAACTCCTGACCGCAAGTGATGTGCTCGCCTCGGCCTCCTGGAGTGCTGGGATTATAGACGTGAGCCACCGTGCCTGGCCTGCTAAGGTTTTTTATGTGTGCAGACAATGGGCAATCATGGATTATCTCTGATGCCCCTACATTTAGAGGTGGTAGAAGAAAAGTAATGACAAGATGCAAAGGCTGCAGAACAGTAACACCGCATGAGCAAAGGAGACAGCTTCAAAAGGAGGGCCATTCAACAACGTCACATTCTTCATCTCATAAAACTCAAGGATTCTGCGGGCTGAGAGAACTTACGTATTCACAAGGGATGTTCAAGAAAGCAGCTTGAACTGAGTGGGTGGGAGGAAGGAGAAGCAATGAGTGCTGACTCCTCTTCATGCCAAGATAGCAACTTGGGAGTGTCTTCAACATTTTGAAGCTAGGAAGGGGGACAATCTGAAGACATGAGAAAAGGAGCAACCATCATGGATGGTGGGGTTGTGGGGAGGAATAGAGAAAGGAACACAGGTGGAAGTGCAGTCTTACAAAAATAAGACAATTTGTTCTCCCAATAAAGAGCAACAGAAGAGGGACTCAAAAACAGGGACACTTTGAGGCAGAGTAAAGGTAAAATGCAATTATTCAGTTTGAGTAACCTCAATATTTTTAGTTAAAACTAAGAGTGATTCTTTCTGGTACTACATGTATGTATATGGCAACAGGAGGTATATATACCAAACATATATCAATATGCTAGACAATACTTGGGAGGTACCAAAAGCCCACAAAAGATGAATTGATAAGAGTCCTAAACCGAATTCTATTTATTATTAGTGTTTTTTTGGGGGGGACATTGTGAAAATCCCATGCACCTCAAATTTGTGATTTTGATTCATTACTAGTTGGAAGCTCCATTGAGGGTTAGGGAAAGTAGAAAGCAGGCAGTGGGGTACTCACTAGAGTCAGAGGGCTACTGTGACAGTTACAAGGACAGGTGTGACCCTTCATGGGGGACACCATATGTGCTACTCAATGGCCAGGTAAGATGAGAGATGGACTTAGAGGTTGCGAACACAAAGAAATGTTGAGGCCAGAGATTTGGACAGTTGGAAAGAGCGTGGTAAAAAGCAGAGATGATGGAGTGAGGAGGAGAAACACAGGTGCTTCGGGAAGGAAAGAAGGAAAAACAAAGTTAGGGCCTGAAGGAGGAAAAATGAGCACAGAGAAGTTGAGAGGGTGAAGATATTAATCATAACCCTTTTAAAGATCCAGGTCAATAGGAGAGAGGGTGGTGGAAAGGAAGAAACAGGAGAGATAGGGGGTGAAAGTCAAAGAGGAGCATTTCCATATTTAGTCATTAAGGAAGAGAAGACCTCAGTAAAGAAGAGGTCAGTGCCTTGGCCATGCTGGTGAGTGCTTGAAATGGAAGAGATGAAAGGCCATAGCGTGCAGAGTGTAGAGGAACTGAGGGACCAGGACTGGTAGCTACTAAGGATGACAGAATAAGATAGAGAGCAACAGAAAACTATGGCCCTGATGCTCAAGTCTGTGAGGATAAAAGGAGAAAGTTCAGGACACTGTGAGATGGCACTGATAAGGACTGTGACTGCTATGAGATGCTGGAATAATCTTCAAAAATGCAGGAAAAAACCCTAGAAAGGGCAGGTGTGACTTGGACGAGGAGGGGAGAGGAACATAATGGGAGTGAGATGAAGAATAAAGACGACTGGAGGCAACCTGGATATTCACGTGTCACTGTGTGTGTGTGTGTGTGTGTGTGTGCACAGAACTTGCCAATCCCAGAGTTCTAATTAGAATGTTGGCATGACAATGTGGTCATATCCATTGGGTCTGGAATTTTGGATTCTTTTGAGTCTTCAGGAAGACAGCAGGGAAGAAGAGATCTGCTGTCTTGTTTCCAAGCTTCCTTTTTTGAAATGAAAAGGTTGTATGGCTTGTTCCAAAGACAAAAAGAAAAATACTCCCCCAAATACTTAAACTGATTTCAAAAATAATGGTTGTCATTTTTTTCTTGATCCTTCATTCTCGTTAAAATCAATTTGCTAAAGAATCAGATTAAAGAAGCATTAAATATATTGCATTATCAAATCAGTCTTCTATACTTCTTGATTAATTAACTGCTACATTTTCTTCTGAATTTTTTCTAAGGTTTATTACAACTACCACCTTTTATATAACAAAAAGATTGTTTTTCTTTCATCTTTGGTTTCAAAAATAAACCTTAACAAATATTTTACCCGAGTATCCATAGGAATGATTTTCTCATGTCCCAAATTTAAAAATTCTATTACATTTTCCTGGCCTTTATGGACTTCTGCTTAGCCATACACAATAATTTTAATTTTGCCTATTTTCAGGAAAAGATTATTTTGCTATAGATTTATTTATAAACAAAGCCAACAGTGATTAATGTAAAGTAAGAATATCAACATGTGGACGTAAGGATGGAAACAGTAGACACGGGAGCCTCCACAAAGGGGAGGGAGGTAGGAAGGCAAGGGTTAAAAACCTACCTAGTGGGTGCTATGCTATTTGGGTGAGGGGTTCACTAGAAGCCTAAACCCCAGCATCACCCAGTATATGCACAAAACAAACCTGCGCATGTATCCCCTGAATCTAAAATTAAATTAAAAAAAGGAATATCAACATGAAACCTATTCTTTATCAGTCTGGAACTATGTTGTACAGAATCTTAGCAGACTACCTTCTAGGTTCATGGACGAACCCAAATGTCTGTGGAAGAAGTTAAAGTGTTTGGATAATATTCAGAGTTCAGTTACTGTGAAAATATTCAGACCTAGTAAATTGCCGTGTGGTTCCAAGGACCCAGTGAAATGTGCCCCCAGAGCTCCAGATTTTTTCCATAGGAATGGAATGTTCTGATAGGCCCTCATCTTTAGAGTTTCTAGGCTGGTCAAAGCCTCACATTTATTTCCATAAATGTCATTAATCTTGGACTCTGGGAAGTATTCTAGCCTCAAGGTGGCTGCAGGGAAACCGCAGAGCATGATGGTGAAACAGAGCTCAGAGTGAACAGATCTTGGTTCTATTCTCACATCTTCTTTCTGGGACCTCAGTGCACAATTTCCTTACTTATAAAAGAAAAACAGGCACAGTCCTGTACCTTGTGGGGGTGTCCAAATCTAATCTAAACTGCTTACATCCAGGAGCTAACTTTAATTCTTAGAATAAACATGAGGGTTCAGTTATTTTTTTAAAAAAAAGGACAATAATTTTACAGGACACAATTTAAAAAGTAAGCAGCATTCTGTTGTGAGGTACAGGAATAAAAAAAGCCAAAAGAGAATCAAGTCAAAAATCAATTTAAGATATAGTCATTGCTTTCAGACTGTGATCTACTGCTACTTAGAAGGAAATATATCTTTAAAAAAGGTGGAAAGAAAGCTCAGCATTATTTAAATGTTGTTTAGCCCTGCCTGTTTTCTGGGTCACCTCTCGCTGCCATTCAGAGGTGGTGGCTTGGGGAAATATAAATGAAATTCAATACCTCCTTCAGGAAGACACAGTTTGAAGGATGCTTTCTTCCAAAGAGGAAAACACAAATCATTCAATTTAAATACAATTTTTGGATGGGAAAGCTACTTGGGCAGCATGGATCATGGAATGTGAACAGGACGAGGAGTCCAAGGGCAGTGATTCCATCCTGGTCTGCCACAATCTGCACCAAGGTCACATGAGATCTCTAAGTCTTGGTTTCTGAAACTGTAAAATGGGGAGAAGGATGATAATAATTGCTATGACTGAAGTTACCCTAACTCTTAAATAAGGTAAAAGACATGAAATAACTCTGGAAAGCAGAAAGTATTACATCCATCTTAACTATTATAACCATTCTAATCAACTGGATTAAATTCTACACTGAAATGTACCCATTCTACTTAAAAAGCAAAACCAAACCAAACAAACAACAAAACCAACCAGACTGTAAACCAGGTGACCATCCAGGTCCTGTCACCAATTAGTTGTGTGAGTTTATACCAGTCGTTTATTCTCTCAGGGCCTCGGTTTCTCTTACAGGATCATTCTCACAGACTGGCAAGATCCTCATGACATACAGACCAATCCACACTTTGAAAACAACAAAGTGCTATGTAGCAGGGATAGTCATCAAATTGACTTTACCAAAATAGAATTAGAAAAAAAAAAATTCCTATGTTTTGTTTGAACTGCTTTTTATTGTCAAAAGGAGACATTTTCACCATCCAAAATATGATATTTTTCTAAGTTGGACTCACGTGTATTAATACAAGAAAACAGTTACTGGCAATTTGTGTTAATTGAAAAAGAAAGAGCATAGTATCGATCTCTTGCTTAGGTCTTGGCAAAATGAAATTTAAAAGAATCTCTGCCATCCTTCTCCTGTACAGCCACACTCAGCACAGTGTTATATCATCACTGCAGGGGCTCTTTCCTAAGAATGAGATGGCACTTTGTAGCCAGGCCATTAAACCTGGCTTTTTTTGAAAAGAATTAGCCAAGAAAAAAAATGCACATTTACATGGTACTTGAAATCAATTTTTTCATTATATTATGTGATCCGGGGACCCAAATAGGCATGAGAAGAAAATTTTCCAGCCTTCTTGTTACTTGGGCTTTAAGTAAAACATATTGAGAAATAGCTATAACTTTAAAAAATAAGCCCTAAGAACTACAGATGAAGAAATAAATGGCCATAAAACCTAAAAGCAGTAGAGTAAAATAATAAACACCATATAATCTTACAATCTAAATAAATGCTAAAATTGCTGCACTCATGTTTTTCATCTGCTGATTTCCTTTTATTCTATGAAGGAGGTTTCTGGTGCTGAAATGGCATTTCTGTCTCAGTATGCATTTCTTCATCCATCCTCAGTGTTCATCCTTCTCAATTTCTATCAAATAGTACCGAGTTTTCAACTTCAGTTTTTTAAAAAAATTACTGATTTGTATTGCTTAAATCTTCTTTAATAGTATAGTAATGGGATTTTTCAGTGTGTGTTGCATCCCCTTCATTTTGTATTGCATCAGGAGAGCTGAGGCCATTTTTGAACTTAAAACTTACTTCACATCCATGATAAATGTTATTGTCATGCACGATAGTAAAATTATTTCATAATTAGCCAACAGCAATGTTTCCACTTAACAGGATTAAAGAAAAACGTGAACACGCACACACACACAGACACACACACAAACACATTAGTAAAAAGCACATGCCTCTCTGTGAATATGATCCCAAGATTCAGGGAGTAATCCAGCAGGTGGAGAAGATGCATTTATACTGCCATAACCAAGGCAATTTTGTCAATTCCATTATGGAGAGGCTGGAAGAGCACAAACAACCCATTAAGCTTACGCGGGATCTGGTGAGAGCCCTTGACAAAACATTAATGAAAGACAAAATTGAAGGTAAACACAATAATTAACGCCAATGCATACTGAGCTAGGCAACCATGACCTTATAGGAATGGACTGGGATAAGATTATATCTGCTTAGAATAATGACAATTTTTAGAATAATTATTCATTCTGATGGGATAAAAGCATTTATAGGCTAAAAATAAAAACCAATTTTATTGCCTTACCAATATTAGTTTATTAAATTTCAAATTTTAAAAGAGAACCCTTTAAAGTTTTTTATTTTTGTTTCTGAAGCTTTAAACTCAAAATACATTTTAGAGAACACTTTATTGTTACTTTTAGTTTTCTACTGTGTAGATAAAGCAGGATATTACAGTTAGCATGGTATGTGATAACTGAATTTCTAATGAGTTATTTCAATTCAGTTAAAAACAATCATCGATGTATCTATTAAATACAATTGATAATTAAATCATCAATTATCTGTTAAATAACTCATCTATTGAATGGATTATTTGAATGCAGTTAAGAGCAATCACCAATTATCTATTAAATACCAGGGATCCCTGGGCAAGTACTGGAGGATATGCAAAAATGAAGAAGCATATTTCTTTTCCCCTAGAAGTCTGTAAATACAGAAATAATTTCATTATTTGTGTGAATTCTCAGTTTCTCATGAGGCATATATAAATATATAAATAATCCATTACTTTTTTTATTCCCACCATTTTGTTAATGTTTCTGTCTTTTTGTAGTAGTTGTTTTCATTCTGACTAGGTTACAAGTTAAATATCATTACTGTTACTATTATCACTAACAACATCACCCACACACCTAAGGTTTATATTGATAAATATATAAGATTCAAGACTCCAATCTAACCCATTCTGCAATGACGTAACTGCATTATCAACTCATAAACATGGCAGTAAGCAAAAACCAAAACTCTATCCCTAAAGGCAAAGTTATCACTTATGATCTCAGCTCACTTGTTTGTTACTCATAACATAAGCTGAGTATGATAACTGAATTATAATCCTGAACGATTCTCCCAAATTATATCCCTTGGAACACTTGTTTTGAGAAATACTTTTCCCCCAAAAGCATTCCTTGGGCAATGCTGTATTCATCTTTTCTTCTTAAAAAGTTTCACATGGCTACTACAATAAAGAAATCTATTTATCTTTGTTTAACCCGCCATTTTCTAAATTTCTCTGACCAATGGACTTTGCATTTCCACCTCACTCACTTAAGAACAGCCATGGACAACCCTCAGAAGTAGTATTTTCAGGAAGCCATGTTAAGAAATGTTGACTGAGAAGAGAAAGAATTAATTCAGATGGATATTACAGTCCCCAAAGCTTGAAAACTCTAATTATTCTGCCTGAAGAAGAGACTGTGACACCATAATTAAAACTGTTGAAATTACAGCGCCCTTGACATTCCATTTCCTTAAAGATACTTCCAAGATGTAAAATGTACCTAGCTGAAGGACACTGACAATATCTCTTTCTCTGTTGTGCCCATTGTTCAGGACACTTGTATGGTGGGAACAAAAAAAAAAGTGAAAATGTTAAGCCATTTGATTGTACATCAAGCTTTAAGGTAGGCACATTTGCTTTTTCTTTTGTCTCTCCATATTCCACTATCAAAATCAAACAATGGTGAGTTTCATCTCAACAAGAAAATTGTTGACATAAAGTATTAAAATAAGTAACCATCCAATCATGTATGATTTGGAACTACTAGGCAAAAGCTACCAGCATTAAATACATTTCAAGTTCTTGCATTAGAATATCCTTCTTGCCTCAGGGGCTGAGTTCTGGGCCTGGTGGGGCTGCTGACCACTACTCATGTAGTGCTATTTGTACAAGATGGCAGAAGTTCCTTGGGTAAAGAAACTACATTACTCAGAGAGAAAAATGTACACAATGTCTGCCAAAACGATTCTTAACTTTTGATTTTCTTTTCTGTTTTATTTCACTTCTCCTTTCTGCCACTGGACTCTGCCTGGAATGATATATTTTTAGAGCACTGAAATCCTACTAAAACACTTTTAAAAACACTTAAGCGATGCACAATTATGTGGGTAAAAAAAAAATCCAATAGGTCAACATTCCCATTGTTTAGAAGCAGCTGCAAAGGAGGACTGGCTGTACGTCCACCGGTACACCATGTTTGCAGGAGTTGAGGAAGCAAAGGAATTTGCTTACTTCCTTAACTCAAAACTAAAAAGAAGCCAAATCAGCACCATTATATGACTTAGCTGTTTTTGCTGCATTTAGAGTAGATGTAGCTGGCATTTAGTAAGTTCCTCCCATCTCTGTCACCCACCATACTAGAAATAAGCTTATGAGGCTAGCTTTTAACGCAGAAATCTAAGATAATGCCTAAGTCATAAAAACAAGATCAGTCCTTGTCAAGTTCCTAGACAATTAAATGCCATACTTCCCCTGACACACACTTCTGCCCCATCTAAGATGAATTTAATTTGGGGGCAGAAGGAGTTTCTATTAAAAAGCCAAAGAAGACAAGCTGCATGAGCTTAAAAGGACTACACAAGAGCTTAGGAAGCTGTTTTGGGAGACATAGGAGAGGCAGCCAGACAAAGAAAACACATTGAGCCTTAGAAAGGCTCACTGCTTCTCTCTGGACATCTTTAATTGGCAAAGAAAGCTCAAGGGCCTTTTTATCCCTCCAACCACACTGTAGGAAGTAACTAAGGGATAGCAAATTTCAGGTGCCATCTCTGAGAGGCAGCTAGTGGATATCATAGCTATGGCTACAGCACAAAATACTCTTGTGCTAACCCACTCTGGCCTTGCCCTAGAAACTCTCCTGGACAGTTTGTGTTTAAGAATTCCTTTAGTGCTTCTTGGCCATAGTTATGACTATAGTGCAGCCAGGACTGTAATTCAAAGTTTGATTGATTGATTCATTGATTGATTGATTGATGTATGCTAAATTCAGCTGTCTGGCCACTGACAGATTCAAGGAGTATCCAGGAAACGCGGTGAGTTAATCCCTATGCTGGTTGTTTCCTTCAGATGCACAGTAATAGAAAGCATCCCTGGGACTCTTTCCTCTTTCATCATAGAAGAGCACAGAAGGCCTTTCATATATCCTGAGCTCAAAGACTGACTGCAGCTGCAGAATCATGAGGCTTACAAGGAGAGGACTCCAGCATGGCCATAGTTAAAGCAGGAACTTTGCTTTAACAATTAGCCCTGACCTATTAAAAGTGGGACTGCTAGTATTTATAGCAACTTCCTGATTCTATTACCATGCACAGCCCTCCATCTGAATAATGTGCAGATATTTTTTATTCCTGGTAATGGTAAGGGTCTGGAAGCAATAGCCTCTCTCACTAGGTATCTGATTAGGTGAAAATTCCTTTGGGTTTTATGTGATCATCGTGGTGGCATTGCATTAGTTATGAAACAAAGCCTAACTTCATTTGAAGAATTCTTCAATAATCAGGTTAAAAAATTACTTTTAATTTTGATTTTCTATAAAATATATATATTTTTAAAACAGCCACCTTTTAAATGTACTGTAGACCCATGCAGACACAAAACACACTTTGTGTATTTATCCTTTAACTAAGCCTTTGAATTAGATCGGGGCTTGAGGTCTTCAGAAGTGTCAAGGGGGTATTTTCTATAAAAACGATGAATAATTCAAGAGATGTCTGTCAGAATAAATTTAAGTTCATCTTGATTTTGACTGCCACAGGTATGTCACACAAAATCCTGCTGGTAATTATCCCCTATCCCATCTTTAGGAAAAAAAACAAAGTGTTTCATCTATATAACTCAACGAATGCTTCACTGAACTGAAACAGAATAGTGATTTTTAAGCTCTCTTTTGAAGACCATTGTGAACAGCCACTGTGTAGTTTACTTTTCACCGTCCTAATCAACATTTTTATTGTTTATTGTGACTCTCTTACTATTGCTTTTCCATTTTTTTCCTGCGAATTAAGATTTTAAAATTAATTATAAGATACTGTGTTTGATGTTTTAAGGAGTCTTGCAGTGGAACAAAGTTTATTTTCATTTAAAAGCCACAATAAATATAGAAACATAATTGAGTGGCTGAAGGAAAAGGAATAAGTTAGGAGTCATAGAAATAATCTCTAATCCACTGAGAATTTTAATCTTTTAAATTAAAGCATTAGAAAACTTAAAGCCTTAATATACACAACTCCGGTAATTTAAGGTGCTCTTTATTTGTACCTAGTACCATTTCCTTAATCACAACTAGTAAAATTAGCAGGCAAGGGCACTGTTATGCCCTTCTATCCTAGCCACAGTCTCTGTGACGTATGAATAGGACATAATTCTTGGGAGGGAGGAGGTGCCTAAGGGAAAAACGAAAGGAAGGAAACACAACAACAAAATAAGTCCAAATAAACTATGACAATAGGGCTGATACTTTATATTTGCATTATATTTTACAGTTTATGAAGTGTTTTTCCATTCATTCAATTATTTAGTCTTCACTATTCTTTAAAATTATTATTGTCCCTACCTTACAGGTGAGGAAACCATAGCTGGAAGAAATTAAGTAAACTATATATCATTTAAAAATACATAAATTATTATTTTACTCATATTACTAAGAACTAGTGTTCTTTAAAGAAAGTATAAGGAGGATAGTGTCTCTAGTAAATCTATGAGTTTTTCAAAAAGATGATTCAGTTAAACTTTCAGGGATAATAGCCCACTAAGGGGATGATAAATACATAGCTACTAATTAAATCTTCCACTGGGATAATTACTTAACTTCATTTCATTGGCCAATGTATTCAGCTTTTAGGGGCCAGTTCTCAGAGACAGAAGTGAAATCAACTCACATTTCAAGAAACTGGGCTACTGAAATCTCATTTCTGACATAGTATGAATTTCTGTCCCTGCCCAAATCTCATGTCCAATTGTCATCCCCAGTGTTGGAAGAGGGGCCTGGTGGGAGGTGACTTAATTATGAGAACAGACTTCCTCCTTCCTATTCTCATGATAATGAGTGAGTTCTCAGGAGATCTGGTTGTTGTAAAAGCCTGTGGCACCCCCAATCCCCTCGGCCTCTTCCTCCTGCTCTAGCCATGTAGGACATGCCGGCTTCCCCTTCGCCTTCTGCCACGATTGAAAATTTCCTGACGTCTCCCCAGCTATGCTTCCTATACAGTACAGCTTACGGAATTATGAGCCAGTTAAACCTCTTTTCATTATAAATGACCCAGTCTCAGGTAGTTCTTTACAGCAGTGTGAGAATGGACTAATACAATTTCTTCAGTAGGAGATTTGTTTCCTATTATACAACATGAATATTACATCCCTGAAAAATATGGCATTATGGAAAGCCAGTTCAGAATAGATGACATTAAGAAAGTGTATAAAACTTGGCTTTCTACATCTTATAGAAAATTGTAAATAAAAATACATATTCATTCAGCTCTATTATTCTTAATGTCAACCAAAAGTCCACAGGCTGAGGTCAGAAAACAATACAGTGGGACTATAATCCAGACAATAAACAAAGATTACTTATTGATGAAACCTATATAATTAAAGTTTAATTATATATTTGATTTCAGTCATTTTCTTTAGATTTTCAAATAATCTTTTCAAAACCCAAAGAGTTTGGTCATTTTTTATTATTTCAGCAACTTTCTTACTCCTGTTTGCAATTTCCTTTCTGAGTGTACACACCATGATTTGTCTGATTGCCATTCTTACACATTAATTTATTCAAAGTTAACTATGCTTAAAATAAGATATTTATTTACTATTTCATATTGAAAAAAATCAAAGGGAAAATATGACTAGTCTGTGATCTTAAACTGAACCTTGTTCCCGCCATAACATTTGAATTATCAAGTCAATAAATCTCCCTTTGATAAAAGTAGGTAATCTTAATGGCCTGCCTCTTAATCATTATTAATAATTCAGATAGTCACTTTCTGCTATAATTGTACTCCTTCTTGGTCCATAATAGACAGATCCAAGAAAATTCTTAGGTGATTTAGGAAAGTGTGACACATTCTCAAATGAGAGGTCGGTCCACTAAATAACCTGACCTCACACAATGAGTTAATACAGATGACTTCTAGGAATGACCTAGAAGGACTCTGTCCTGTTTATTTTCCAAGACAACTTACACTTAGACCATTGCTGTCTGTTTCCCTCCAGGGAATGAATTTTGATAAATAACTGAATTGGCCTGATAGCTGAGGGGTTAACTAAGTACCAGTGGGTAGGAGAATTATTGAATGAAATTCTATTTTTAAATTGTACTTCTCTGCTCTTTTAAATGAAAAATAGTGACCAGTTTCAGCTTTCTAAATATGGCTAGCCAGTTTTCCCAGCACCATTTATTAAATAGGGAATCCTTTCCCCATTTTTGTTTTTGTCAGGTTTGTCAAAGATCAGATGGTTGTAGATGTGAGGTATTATTTCTGAGGGCTCTGTTCTATTCCATTGGTCTATATCTCTGCTTTGGTACCAGTACCATGCTGTTCTGATTACTGTAGCATTGTAGTACAGTTTGAAGTCAGGTAGTGTGATGCCTCCAGCTTTGTTCTTTTGGCTTAGGATTGACTTGGCGATGCGGGCTCTTTTTCAGTTCCATAGGAACTTTAAAGTAGTTTTTTCCAATTCTGTGAAGAAAGTCATTGGTAGCTTGATGGGGATGGCATTGAATCTATAAATTACCTTGGGCAGTATGGCCATTTTCATGATATTGATTCTTCGTACCCATGAGCATGGAATGTTCTTCCATTTGTTTGTATCCTCTTTTATTTCATTGAGCAGTGGTTTGTAGTTCTCCTTGAAGAGGTCCTTCACATCCCTTGTAAGTTGGATTCCTAGGTATTTTATTCTCTTTGAAGCAATTGTGAATGGGAGTTCACACACCCCACTGTCAAGGTTAGACAGATCAATGAGACAGAAAGTTAACAAGGATACCTAGGAATTGAACTCAGCTCTGCACCAAGCGGACCTAATAGACATCTACAGAACTCTCCACCCCAACTCAACAGAATGTACATTTTTTTCAGCACCACACCACACCTATTCCAAAATTGACCACATAGTTGGAAGTAAAGCTCTCCTCAGCAAATGTAAAAGAACAGAAATTATAACAAACTGTCTCTCAGACCACAGTGCAATCAAACTAGAACTCAGGATTAAGAAACTCACTCAAAACTGCTCAACTACATGGAAACTGAACAACCTGCTCCTGAATGACTACTGAGTACATAACGAAATGGAGGCAGAAATAAAGAGGTTCTTTGAAACCAATGAGAACAAAGACACAACATACCAGAATCTCTGGGACACATTCAAAGCAGTGTGTAGAGGGAAATTTATAGCACTAAATGCCCACAAGAGAAAGCAGGAAAGATCCAAAATTGACACCCTAACATCACAATTAAAAGAACTAGAAAAGCAAGAGCAAACACATTCAAAAGCTAGCAGAAGGCAAGAAATAACTAAAATCAGAGCAGAACTGAAGGAAATAGAGACACAAAAAACCCTTCAAAAAATTAATGAATCCAGGAGCTGGTTTTTTGAAAGGATCAACAAAATTGATAGACTACTAGCAAGACTAATAAAGAAAAAAAGAGAAGAATCAAATAGATGCAATAAAAAATGATAAAGGGGATATCACCACCGATCCCACGAAATACAAACTACCATCAGAGAATACTACAAACACCTCTACGCAAATAAACTAGAAAATCTAGAAGAAATGGATAAATTCCTCGACACATACACCCTCCCAAGACTAAACCACGAAGAATTTGAATCTTTGAATAGACCAATAACAGGCTCTGAAATTGTGGCAATAATCAATAGCTTACCAACCAAAAAGAGTCCAGGAACAGATGGATTCACAGCCAAATTCTACCAGAGGTACAAGGAAGAACTGGTACCATTCCTTCTGAAACTATTCCAATCAATAGAAAAAGAGGGAATCCTCCCTAACTCATTTTATGAGGGCAGCACTATCCGGATACCAAAGCCTGAGAGAGATACAACAAAAAAAGAGAATTTTAGACCAATACCCCGATCAACATCAATGCAAAAATCCTCGATAAAATACTGGCAAACCGAATCCAGCAGCACATCAAGAAGCTTATCCACCATGATCAATTGGGCTTCATCCCTGGGATGCAAGGCTGGTTCAATATACGCAAATCAATAAATGTAATCCAGCATATAAACAAACCACATGATTATCTCAATAGATGCAGAAAAGGCCTTGGACAAAATTCAACAGCCCTTCATGCTAAAAACTCTCAATAAATTAGGTATTGATGGGACGTATCTCAAAATAATAAGAGCTATCTATGACAAACCCACAGCCAATATCATACTGAATGGGCAAAAACTGGAAGCATTCCCTTTGAAAACTGGCACAAGACAGGGATGCCCTCTCTCACCACTCCTATTCAACATGGTGTTGGAAGTTCTGGCCAGGGCAATCAGGCAGGAGAAGGAAACAAAGGGTATTCAATTAGGAAAAGAGGAAGTCAAATTGTCCCTGTTTGCAGACGACATGATTGTATATCTAGAAAACCCCATTGTCTCAGCCCAAAATCTCCTTAAGCTGATAAGCAACTTCAGCAAAGTCTCAGGATACAAAATCAATGTACAAAAATCACAAGCATTCTTATACACCAATGATATGGATATGATTTCTATAAAACCACACACCACTATGTATTTGCAATATGTGCATTAATTGTGATTGCAGTTGTTTCCATTCTGATCCTACCCCTGGGGGTTGTGGGGCTGTGGAGTTTGGCTCTGTCACCTGTAAATGGAGCAGAGCTTGTCCAACTGCAGAACCTCTGGGTGGTGGCACTCAGCTGCCTCCACAGCCTTAGTGAACCCACACGACGCTGAAGCTCCATGCTCTGCTTCTCTCCTATCCTTTTTTCATTTCCCAAAATGATTTTCTTCACTGCTGTTAATGGCTTTCTACTTCCTCCCGTCAGTCAAGATATCATCCATTATTTCTCCGTCACTAACCCAGTGACATTCGGTGACACTCGACACAACTTTCTTTTACACTGTGTACTTTTGGGTGTGAAAGATGAGTAGCTGTCTCTCTGTATTTCGAGACTATAAGAGAATGTGTGTTGAGAACACTTTAAGGTGTGTCAATCCTTCATTATCCAAAGCAGATGATCTCACAGGCACCTGAACAATTTTTCTTGAAGCCTCTCTAAAATGCCAGCATCAAGTGGAATTCCAGGCATGCTCAATTTAAAAGTCTACATCTAGCGTTATAATATTCAAAGGTCAGTCAGGTTTCTATGTGATAGGTCAATGTGCTCATGAAACCTTTCTTGTTATAACACTTTGTAGCATAAATAGCACTTTGGTTAGTGGCCTGACTCAGGGAACAGACAGTGGTAGCAAGAAAAGTAGGTACCCAGTCAATAACCATCCTTTGAAAGACACAGGGAGGAGGCGCATTTCCTGCATTCCTTCTCTAGCAATTTGGACAGGGCAGAGGTTCTGCTTTGGGCAAGACTAGATTAGACCTCCTATCTGGAACCCCAAGTAGATAGGTTAGAATAGCCACTTATAATCCTCACAGAAATCTTGAGTTCTGAAAAGTTCTTTCACGGAAAAAAAAAAATGAAAAAAATCAACCAAAAAAAAAAAGAGTCTTTGTACATCTATACACAACTATAAGGAATATCAAAATAGCACTTTTGAATATTCTGGGATTATGAAGTTTTCAATCACCAAATATTATCCTACATGAGAACCTAGAGTGTTGGAACATACAGGAACATGCAGACTTTCCTTGTTTTTCTTACATTTTATACAATTTGATTCACTGGCAGGCAGGGCTATACCTGTGGTATGAGTTCCAGGGGCCTCACGGTGCCCTGTGTGGCTGGAAATGAGGGACCCCAGAGTTAGCAGCAGACGATGGGGACAGAGAAGGGACAAGTCAGGCAGGGCTGATAGGGCTTTCACTCTGCATGAGGTGGGGGTAGGCAGAACTCCATGAATGGAAGAGTGACTTGAGCCTTCACTTGGAACCTCACACGGAAGAGTGATCCATGAATGTCCATTCAACTGTGCAGTGAAAGAAAGGTATGAGACCAAAACCAAAACAAACCCTTTAGAATAAAAAATATGTGATTTACTTTACAAGTGCAACCTTTATGAATTTAACATTCTAGTTCATTTTTAAAATGAAACACTTAACTTCTTTTTTGTTGTTTTTGAGGCGGAGTCTCACTCTGCTGCCCAGGCTGGAGTGCGCTGGTGCAATCTCAGTTCACTGCAACCTCTGCCTCCTGGGTTTAAGCTATTCTCTTGCCTCAGCCTCCTGAGTGGCTGGGATTACAGGTGTGTGCCGCTATGCCCGGCTAATTTTTGTATTTTCAGTAGAGATTGGGTTTCCATGTTGGCCAGGCTGGTCTAGAACCCCTGACCTCAGGTGATCCACCCACCTCCGACTCCAAAAGTGCTGGGATTACAGATGTGAGCCACTGCACCCAGTCTTCATTTCTTTTATTTGATGAACATCCATTTACTAGTTTGCTAGACTTGATGCAACACATATATTTATGAACACGAAGAGAAAAATAATTTCAAGTCTCTAATTGTAACATCATAAAGGATATTTGGGGGTCTCTGTAGATGAATCCAAAAATGGCACCACCACTCCAAAGGGGAACTCCTCTCTGCTTGTTAAACCCTGCTAACAAATGGCATTGGTATTTTAGTTCTTCCAGAAACACATGGCAGCTGGGATCCAAGGCCACCTATAGCTATAAGAGGGCTATTTTAAATGTTCTTCCAAATAAGCAAAGACCTTTTAAGAATATTCAGTTAATTTTAATCTTTAACATTCATATCAGTAACTTCATTGACTGAACTTTTGCATTTAAAGTTGTAATAAAATAGTATTATTAAGTGATATCATAGGATATCATTGAAGAGCAGATTAATTTATAACTGAGATTAGATTTTTGGAGATTGCATTACAATACAAATAATATGGTGTTTTTTCAATATCCAATCATTTGTTACTTTGTTTACTAAATCCACATTTATCACAGTTTAATAGAATTTTTTTACAGGAGAAATGACAAAGTTTAATATTAATGGACACTGTTCTCATGGAAAGTCTCTACCTTATGTATTAAATTAATTTTAATCAAAACAATTTCAGTCCTTTCCTGTCTCATGTGCTAGCAAATTAAAAATGGAAATGAAGACTCCTTACTCAAAAGCATTATTTCTTCCTTTTAGTTTACCAGTAGAAAGTCAAGGACTTGAAACTCTTTGAACACATTTTTCTTCCAGCTTTGTTGTTGTTGTTGTTGTTGTTCAAAAACTCAGTAACAGATAGATAGAGAATTGACCAGACATTTCCAAAAGCCCTTTGGCTGTGCAAGTACATTTGGGTTTCCTTCAGAGCATGACAGCATATCCCTTATTTGTCCACAACAAACAAATCTTATTTAATCTATACATTTTTGTGCTGAAATAAATACTTTTGCAGAAGGAAATGACCTTCTAGGTTGACTGAGGATCACAGACATTTTATCAGGTTGCCCATGGCTGATAACCAAATACTGTGGCACATGAGCAAATTGTGTAGACCCTGGGTACAACACGATCTTACGGGAGCAGAGTTGGAGAAAGGGCATCTAGATGAACAAATGTTTAATAGAACCTAGACAATCTGCTGTTGCAGCATTGAAACCTTCGTAACCACTCAAGCAATAGAGAATTTTATTTTACATTCCTGGATGCAAGGTTATTGATGACCAGCCCATATGAATCAACCAAAAATTGAGTCACATGGAAGAATCTGAATAATAGTGAAACTCATAGTTTGTACTACTAATTTACCTAGGATGTATTTCACCTATAATAGAAACTCTTAAACAATTCCACTTATCATGTCACCAGATTAACAGACATTCTCATTTCCTCTGTAAAACATACTGTGGTTGCCCACAACCTAGTAAACATTCTCTAGTAAGCCTGTGCACTTCTGCTCCCACTGTATTGAGTTGTACAGTTGCTAAGAGTCAGCTGAGTTGGTTCCCAAAGTTAATCCTGTTGTACTTCCTATCAATATTACATAAATTAAATTATCTGAAAGTTGGTAAAATATAAATGTAAAAAGGACTAATTGCAATTTTTATGAAAATTATGCAAGTGAAATGGAAAGATAACATCATGATGAGGAGGTTGCTTAAATATTTGTGCTATTGAAGCAGGTGTGGGTAAGATAACTGTAAGAGACTGGAAGAAAGTATAAAAATCGAAGTTTTCTAAACAGATTGAGATGCAACTGTGTTTCTCATTCCACTTCAAAGCTATCAAAATTGATAATCATTAGTTATCATTATTGGTGGGGTTTTCCAAGAAAGATGAAGTGGTATTGTATTAGTTCGCTTTCACACTGCTAATAAAGACATACCTGAGACTGGGAAGAAAAAGGTTTAATCGGCCTTACACATGGCTGGAGAGGCCTCAGAATCATGGCAAGAGGCTAAAGGCACTTCTTGTTTTGTTTGTTTGCTTTTTTGTTTTTGAGACAGAGTCTTGCTCTGTTGCCAGGCTGGAGTGCAGTTGCGCAATCTCGGCTCACTGCAACCTCCATCTCCTGGGTTCAAGCTATTCTCCTGCCTCAGTCTCCTGAGTAGCTGGGACTACAGGCGCACGCCACCATGCCCGGCTAATTTTTGTATTTTTAGTAGAGATGGGGGGGTGGAGTTTCACCATAAAAGTACTTCTTACGTGACGGTGGCAAGAGAAAATGAGGAAGATGCGAAAGCGGAAACCCCTGATAAAACCATCAGATCTCGTGAGACGTATTCACTACCATGAGAACAGTATGGGGGAAACTGCCCTCATGATTCAAATTATCTTCCACGGGGTCCTTCACACAACACATGGGAATTATAGGAGTACAATTCAAAATGAGATTTGGGTGGGGACAGAGTCAAACCATATCATGTATTCTAACCAATAGAATTTTATTCAAAGAAAAGCCCTTGGCCTTACATTAAAATGTTCATGAATAAATGTCTGTTTGCTCATTTTAGGTTAAAATGAAATGAAATGTTTAAGGTCACATATAATTTGTTTCATCATTCCCTACTTTAAAAATTAATCAGCCAACTGTTGGCCAAGTACACATCACTTAGGGGGTTACTTCTGTATTTTATTCCAGCAGTTTTTTTGTATTACTTCTGTGGTTTTCTTGGATGACTATTTTGAAGTTCTTGTGTAGGAATAGTGAGTTGATTTTGAATGGTAACTGGATGAGGAAGATATGTTTAATTTATTATTTGCATCCATTGTAATGGAATGATAGAATGATAGAAGCATTTCTCAGGATGACTGACTTTTTATTATTATTATTATACTTTAAGTTTTAGGGTACATGTGCACAACGTGCAGGTTTGTTACATATGTATACATGTGCCATGTTGGTGTGCTGCACCCATTAACTCGTCATTTAGCATTAGGTATATCTCCTAATGCTATCCCTCCCCCCTGCCCCCACCCCACACAACAGTCCCCAGTGTGTGATGTTCCCCTTCCTGTGTCCATGTGTTCTCATAGTTCAATTCCCACCTATGAGTGAGAACATGCGGTGCTTGGTTTTTTGTCCTTGTGATAGTTTGCTGAGAATGATGGTTTCCAGCTTCATCCATGTCCCTACAAAGGACATGAACTCATCATTTTTTATGGCTGCATAGTATTCCATGGTGTATATGTGCCACATTTTCTTAATCCAGTCTATCATTGTTGGACATTTGGGTTGGTTCCAAGTCTTTGCTTTGTGAATAGTGCCGCAATAAACATACATGTGCATGTGTCTTTATAGCAGCATGATTTATAATCCTTTGGGTATATACTCAGTAATGGGATGGTGGGGTCAAATTGTATTTCTAGTTCTAGATCCCTGAGGAATCGCCAAACTGACTTCCACAATGGTTGAACTAGTCTACAGTCCCACCAACAGTGTAAAAGTGTTCCTATTTCTCCACATCCTCTCCAGCACCTGTTGTTTCCTGACTTTTTAATGATCGCCATTCTAACTGGTGTGAGATGGTATCTCATTGTGGTTTTGATTTGCATCTCTCTGATGGCCAGTGATGTTGAGCATTTTTTCGTGTGTCTGTTGGCTGCATAAATGTCTTCTTTTGAGAAGTGTCTGTTCATATCCTTTGCCTACTTTTTGATGGGGTTGTTTGTTTTTTTCTTGTAAGTTTGTTTGGGTTCTTTGTAGATTCTGGATATTAGCCCTTTGTCAGATGAGTAGACTTTTTTTTGTTACACAATGGCTCCAAACGAGTCACTCTGCCCTGATTTCATAAACTTGGGTAGTATCTTCTAATATTAATTTCATGGAGTGATAGAATATGACAAAAGCAATGCTGTACAACTATGAGGCCTAGGCTTTAAGGGGATTGGGACCTTCTGCTTTTGCTTGCCTGCTTCCCTGAGATGCTGTGCAAAGATGCTCAAGCTCTCCTCATGGATCTCTAGCCATGTACAGAGAGAGACTCTGGAAGATAAAAGACCACTTTGAAGAAAGAAAGACCAGCCAGCATCCATTCATTCCAGTCACCATAGATGAGGTGCTAAACATATGAGCAAGTCCATCTTGGATGCCCCAGACCCAGCCGTGACATCAGCTCACTGCAAATGCATGAGTTTGCCCAACTGACACCACAACAAGTAGAGACGAGCTGCCCAGCTGAGCCCAGACTGATTGTAGAATTTTCAGCAAATAAAAAATTGTTTTTTTAAACCACTAATTCTGGGAGTCGTTTGGTACACAACAGCATGTAACTATCCCCAAACTAAATAGTTACAAAGCCTTGAAGCCTCTGGCAGATGGTTCTCTGATTTCCTGAAATATATAACCACAAGCTATAATGCGCTAGCATCAGTAAAAATAAGAAAGTTTGCCCCCCCACCACACACACAAAAGGAAAGCTAGTACTTATGCTTGTTAAAGCTTTAAGAAAAGAGTTCTGATATTTTTTTAAATTTAGGTTTTAAATTAAATCCATAACCGTAGGGGCAACATTTTCCAGGGGAGATTTTGCTCATACTGCAGAAATAAAATATGCTATGCTAAAAAGGGAACGGGCAGCAGTAATTCTGAAATATTTTTAAAATAAAGTAAAAAGTCAAAGAAGCAGAATGGTCATCCTGTCTATCAATATTGTATTAATTTGAAAAAATATAAGCAAGGCAACAGATTGATTATTATAGATTACTATAAGCATGATGTCAAATCTAACTATTGTCTTTGAAATCAGTGTGTCACTGTAGCGGTAACAAACGCATGTTAGAACTGGTTTTTGATAGTATAATCTTAGCCCTGAATTTCCCCAATTATTATCCTGCCTGCTGTGTGTGTATATGGAGAACATAAAAAATGCTGTAGTTAAAATGGGAATGGGACAAATAGGAAGGGGTATAATCTCTCCCTCAGGAACCTCTACAAAACCAGTAATATCAAAGTAAAGACAATCTTCCAATTACTTGTGTAAATAACCATTAAAATGATTAATAGTCCTTGTGTTTTTTCCATTCTCTCTAGTGCATGTTAAAAGGTCATGTTTTATTTAGAAAATGACCAACATCATTTGACTATTTGCAATAAGGAGCTCCACACAAAAATGATGTTGTCAAAGCAGAAAGTATTTTCATCCTGGTATGAGAAGATAAAATATTTCAAAAATTACTATGCAGTATATTTCTAGCTTTTTTTTCATTTCTCGAGAGACATGTTTCTTTCCAGGAGCATAGTTGATAAAACATGATTTATTTTTATAATGTAAGCAGAGAAAAATTGAGAGTACCTAACCAGCTTCAATAATCCTGTAAAATTAACTACTGGTGATTTTTGCTAATTTTATATCCTTATTCTGAGCTTTGATTTAAGGATAGCATTATTTTTCTGTTTGAATCTGACAGAAAAATACACTTCAATAATAAAAAGAATTTACTAAAACATTTCTTTCCATTCTATAGTTTTCAGAGGAACATAATACTCTTCTATTCACTCAAGAATGCCATTTAAATGACTAAATTTTAATTAATTGTTAAAGTTAATATCACCTACTCTGTGTCCGTTCAGTTTAGAATGACATTCTCTAATAGCCAAAGTATGAGATATTCATTACAGAACATTTGGCAAATAAAATACCTTAAAGAGAAAATAGAAACAAGAATAATCTTATAACCCTGAGATAGTCATGTAAATTTTGGTAAACTGTCTCCCAGTGAAGATATATGAATGTTTAATACATTTTATATATATGTTTTACTCCTCTATAAAACATGAAACTTTGGTCTGATTTTTTTCTTTGTAATTTATATTTCTCTGACAGTTGGGAAAATTTTTGATGAACACTTTGTTTTTTTGAAAGAGACTTTATTTATAAAACAGTTTTAGATTCACAGCAAAACTGAGTAGAAGATATGGAGATTTCCTGTATACTGGCTGCCCTCACATATGTCTAGTCTTCCATGTTATCAACATCCCCCACCAAGTAGTATATTTTTTACAACTGATAAACCTACACTGACACATTGCTGTGGTTTGAGTGTGTCCCCTAAAACTTCATGTGCTGAAAACGCAACCCTCTGCCTTCATGAATGGGTTAACGGATTAATAAGGGCTGTGCCCTCAAGAATGGCTTAATGCTACTATCACAGGAGTAGGTTCATTATTGTGGGAGCGGCTTTGTCATCAAAGCAAGCTCTCTCTGGTTCTCTTGCTCTTGACCTCTTGCCATGTGATGCACTCTGTCATCTTATGATGCAGCACGAAGGCCCTTGCCAGATACCAGTGCCAGGCCTTTGGACTCAACAGCCTCCAAAACCATAAGCTAAATAAACAACTTTTTTCTTTATAACATACTGTGTCTGTAGTATTCTGTCATAGCAATAGAAAATGGATGAAGACATACATCATTATCACCTAAAGTCCATTGTTTACATAAGTTTACTCTTTGGTTGTAAATTTTGTGGGTTTAGAGAAATATATAATGATATGTATTCACTATTATATTATCATACAGAGTAGTTTCACTGCCCTAAAAATCTTCTATGTTCTGCCCGTTTGTCTCTCCCTCTCCCCCTACCCCTTGAAAACCACTCATCTTTTTACTTCTTCATAGTTTTACTTTTTAAGAATATCATATTCTTGGAATTATACAGTAGGTAGCCTTTTCTGACTGGCTTATTACACTTAATAATATTTACATGGCTTGATAGCTTTTTCTTTTTAGC